>NC_000005.10:179823356-179973802 GCF_000001405.40 Homo sapiens
TCAGGAGGCTGAGACGAGAATCACTTAAACCTGGAGAGCGGAGGTTGCCATGAGCCGAAATCACATGACTGTACTCCAGCCTAGGCGACAAAAAAAAAAAAAAAAAAAAAAAAAAAAAAAAAAAGACATTTTAAGTGCTGTGCCTGACCTGAGAAAGAGGAGTCCATGTTCACTCTAGGGATGGGGTCTGGTGCCGTGGTGCTTGGGTTAGGGATGGGGTCTGGTGCCGTGGCGCTTGGGTGAAGGGCAAGGCCAAAGCTGTGCAGACAGGGCTCCTTGCTGCTGCTCTGCTGCCTGGGCCAAACAGACACAGGGACTGGGAACCTCCTAGCAGGTTCTTGGTGGCTCTGCTGCCCTCACCTAAGTGGCTGAATTTTGTGTGGATTCCATGCTGGAGAGCAGGGCCGGGGGCCTTGCTGGCAGTGACAGCCCCACAGTGACGACAGAGGGGGAGGACTTTAGGGGGTCCCACCCTAGCGGCTCTCTTTACCCTTCCTGTAGAGAAAAAAGAGTGCCGGCGGGACCACCGCCCACCGTGTGCTCAGGAGGCGCCCCGCAACATGGTGCACCCCAATGTGATCTGCGATGGCTGCAATGGGCCTGTGGTAGGAACCCGCTACAAGTGCAGCGTCTGCCCAGACTACGACTTGTGTAGCGTCTGCGAGGGAAAGGGCTTGCACCGGGGGCACACCAAGCTCGCATTCCCCAGCCCCTTCGGGCACCTGTCTGAGGTGAGCAGGCCCTCTGTGCAGGCCTGGGGTGGGCTCAGGGTGGCAGGAACCTTGACCCGCTCACTGCCTGCCGCTCTGCTAATTCCTCCCCCAGGGCTTCTCGCACAGCCGCTGGCTCCGGAAGGTGAAACACGGACACTTCGGGTGGCCAGGATGGGAAATGGGTCCACCAGGAAACTGGAGCCCACGTCCTCCTCGTGCAGGGGAGGCCCGCCCTGGCCCCACGGCAGAATCAGGTGAGGCTTGTGTTGGAACCTGCTTCTGATTGGTGACAGTAGTCAGGCAGCCTGTGTGCAGGGCCCTTGTGCAAAGCGTGTGTGCAAGGCAAGAATTCAGGATACCCCCCACCTTCCTGGTGCCCTACAATCACACAAGAACCCTGCAAAGTGGGGTGTATTCTCTCCATTTCCCAAATGGGGAAACTGAGGTGCCTAAGTGCCTGAGGCCACAAATTTACCTGCACAGCCCTTCCTACCTCAGGAGGCTGCCCTCTCAAGGTACCCTGAGGTGCAGGCAGGGAGGCCCTTCCAGCCCAGGGGTCTTTGATGCACTTTGTTCTCTTTTGTGATGGTTGTCAGGAAGATCAGAGCCAAAGTTGCTGAAGTCCTTTGAAACATAGTTATAAGTGAAAGACTTACCGTTAGCTTTGTAGTCTAGATTTTTGGATTCTGATTTTATTAATGTTACTGTGTCCTGTGAATCACCTCACCCTTTGGGACAAAGATGGGGATGTTTGCTTGACTTTGAGTAAATAACATATTTACTCAAGGAGGTGATCAATATTCACAGTGTACTGAGCCTGAGCCTCTGTGGGGTTGCTGAGCACCAGGGTCACAGATGAGGGGGAGATGGCACGGGAGAGTGGAGATGCTCTCTGTGCAGGGCCAGGGGGTGCAGAGTGGGAGGAAGGAGAGGGGGATGCTGAGTGGGTCACTGGACAAGATGTCCGGGTTAAAGGTCACCCGGGAACACAGGGACCTTGGCAAGAAGGTGACAGGACTGTGACAGGTATCCAAGGCATTAAAGATATCTTTATCTTATCTTTGTAAAAATCAAAGCTTCTGGTCCATCGGAGGATCCGAGTGTGAATTTCCTGAAGAACGTTGGGGAGAGTGTGGCAGCTGCCCTTAGCCCTCTGGGTGAGTGCACCTCCTTGCCCAGTGCTTCCCTAACTCAGCCTGCACTTTATGTAACTTTCACCTGGAATACTGCAAAGGAATGGGTAATTGACATGCCCTTGACACTGGTGAGGATTTGTTGCCTCAAATCAACCTTTAGTAGTGCTGGACCACGGGCAACTCAAGGTTGAATTCCCTGACAAAATTCTCGAGCTTTCTACATGGAGTGAAGTCGAATCAGCTGGCATTTGGTTGGGATAATCCCAGTGAGGGAGGGTGACCAGACTGTGGTTGCAGGTCTTGCCTGTCACCTCTGACTGCCCTCCTTTGGATGAACAATAGTCTGCAATTTCCCCTAAGCCAGGCCTTGGGATTTGGACTTTTGAGGACCTGGGTAGTAGTTAGTTGACATGCTATTTATCTTTTCCTTCTTTTAGTTTACAACCCCCAAACCTTTCTGGTGCTTCTGAGTGCTGGGCCTGCCTCAGAGCGGGGAGAAGGTGGAGGCAGGTGCTCTGGGTGACACCCGGTTCTGGTGCCTCAGGTTGCACAGTGGGTCTGTGGGGTGGGTGAAGGTGCCACCTGACCCCAGGCATGAGCTCAGGCTCTGAGACCCCTCCCTGCTGGGCTTTAGAAAGTGCCTGTTGCGTCTGGCTAAGGGTCTCGGGTGGGTGCTGCAGGGTTAGGCATGCGGCAGTGAGAATCAGTGAATGAAGCCAACTTCTAGTTCAAGATGACGGTGGATCTGTGATGGCAGATGGATCGCTGGGACACCTGCATCTCTCGCTAGACGAGTGAGCTTGTTTTTGTGACTGCAGTGGCAGGCTGTGTCCACCCAGCCTGTCCAAAGGTTGTGTTCAGTGTCTGAAAGAATGCTGCTAGGAGGGGCGTCCGAACCATGCCTGCTGCCTCCTGTGGCTACAGGGCGTGACTGCCATCTGCTCCAACTTTGCTCATTCCGATTTTTTTTTTTTTTTGAGATGGAGTCTTGCTCTGTCACGGAGGCTGGAGTGCAGTGGTGCCATCTCTGCTCACTGCAACCTCCCCCTCCTGGGTTCAAGTGATTCTCCTGCTTCAGCCTCCTGGGTAAGTGGGATTACAGGTACCCGCCACCACGCCCAGCTAAGTTTTGTATTTTTTTAGTAGAGACGGGGTTTCGCCACGTTGGCCAGGCTGGTCTTGAACTTCTGACCTCAGGTGATCCACCCGTCTTGGCCTCCCAAAGTGCTGGGATTACAGGTGTGAACCACTGCGCCTGGCCTTGCTCATTCCACTTTGAGGCGGCAGTGACATCTTGGCATTGCTTCTGAACTAAACAGCCCAAACACGCATGGCTTCTGTACTAGAGTTTAGAGGTGAAGTCAGAGAATAGGAAAGAAGAATCGCTAGTCTGTTTTTTTTTTTTTTTCTTTGAGACAGACTTTCACCCTTGTCGCCTAGGCTGGAGTGCAGTGGTGTGATCTCGGCTCACTGCAACCTCTGCCTTCCAGGTTCAAGCGATTCTCCTGCCTCAGCCTCCCAAGTAGCTGGGATTATAGGTGCCCACCACAACGCCTAGCTATTTTTTGTATTTTTAGTAGAGACGGGGTTTCACTGTGTTGGCCAGGCTGATCTCGACACCTGCCTCGGCCTCCCAAAGTGCTGGGATTACAGGTGTGAGCCACCGAGCCCGGCCAAGAATCAGTATTCTTAATGCTTTCCAAGGAGGGTAAACAGTGGAACACCGAGGTCATGATTGAGAGATCGGCTGTGCCTAAATCCTGCCACTCACTCTGGACGTAGTAAAGGTCTGAGAGATTGCCGGTGAATTTGGAGATATGAACAAGAGTCCTTCACTCAAAGAACAAAGGAGACATCCCGGGAAGTCACAAAACCAAGTCTAGGTTCAGGTAGAGACTTTTAAAACAGTGCAGATCCCCAGACCTTACCTTTTTTGATCCTGGTGAGTGAGTGTTGGTGGGGCCTGGGATTTGTCTGGGAGGCTGCCCAGGTGCTTGGGGTCACACTGTCTCAAGACCCACCTGTGCTGGTGCAGCATCTCGGAACTGAACTGGACGCCCCACTTGGCACAGACAGGAATAATCTTGCAGATGCTCAGATGTCTTTTTTTTTCTGAGACGGAGTCTCGCTCTGTTGCCCAGGCTGGAGTGCAGTGGCACGATCTTGGCTCCTGGGTTCACGCCATTCTCCTGTCTCAGCCTCCCGAGTAGCTGGGACCACAGGCGCCCACCACCACGCCCGGCTAGTTTTTTGTATTTTTAGTAGAGACGGGGTTTCACCTTGTTGGCCAGGATGGTCTCGATATCCTGACCTCGTGATCCACCCGCCTCAGCCTCCCCAAGTGCTGGGATTACAGGCGTGAGCCACTGCACCCGGCCCTCAGATGTCTTTGAGCACTAAAAGCTAAAGGCTTAAAGTGGATAGAATTGCTTTCTCCGAACTAGGGAGGAGCCTGAAGCTCTACAAACAAGGAATATTTCAGTAAAATAGACTGAGTGGTTTCAGCTGAGGAGAGCCAGTGGAGGAGCGGCTTAGACTGTTGTGGAAGTTAGGGCTAGTTTCTTTCTTTATGAGGAACTATAAGCTGGATGACTCACAGGTTAACTGCCTAGAAGGGACTGTTCCCAGAGCAGGGCCCAAAGGGGAACGAACGAGTCAACAGCTGCCTCCCGGTGGCAGTGTGTGTAGGGTAAGCGGCAGCTTTCATGTGAAGTGCCAAGGCCTTTTGGTTGGGGGGCTGAGAACCTGCTGAGGGAGCCACAACTGAGACCCAGGCTGCTCCTGGCTGGGAGGCTACAGGCCCCGAAGCCACAGGGCCCCTCCTGGTCGTGGGATCTTTGATAAACCGACACGCAGAGGCTTTGTGAGGCAGCAGGGCACGGAGCATCGTCTAGTCTTTTTTTTAAGTGAAAGCACATTTCTTAAGAAAGTAAAGGAATACAAGAATGGCTACTCCGTAGACAAAGTAGCCTGTCCAGTCTTACGACAAGGCCTGAAAATCTCACGCTTTCATCACCAAGTTGGAGAGATCCTAATTCTATAATTTCTCTGATCTGCTTACAGGCGAGTCTCATTACCCATTTACAAAGCATATGGGTATTGATTGTACTATTCTTTCAACTTTTCAACTTTTCTGTTTGTTTCAACCTTTTTTTTTTCTTATCTTTTTTTTTTTTTTTTTTTTTGAGACAGACTTTTGCTCTTGTTGTCCAGGCTGGAGTGCAATGGTGTGATCTTGGCTCACTACAACCTCTGCCTCCCGGGTTCAAGCGATTCTCCTGCCTCAGCCTTT
The DNA here is from genome assembly GCF_000001405.40 of Homo sapiens. NCBI lineage: Eukaryota > Metazoa > Chordata > Mammalia > Primates > Hominidae > Homo > Homo sapiens. Next base: position 179,828,498 of record NC_000005.10, read on the forward strand.
CCCAGTAGCTGGGATTACAGGCATGCACCATCACGCCTGGCTAATTTTGTATTTTTAGTAGAGACGAGGTTTCTCTGTGTTGGTCAGGCTGGTCTCGAACTCCCGACCTCAGGTGATCTGCCCGCCTTGGCCTCCCAAAATGCTGGGATTACAGGCGTGAGCCACTGTACCCGGCAGCTTCAACCTTTTCATAATCACAAGTTGGGAAGAATAAAGGAGAAAAATAATTTAAATATTACAGATGGAGGTACTTGTAGTTAAGCCTGCTTTTACCTCTGCTCCCCCCTTAAACTCTATTGAAATAACAGGAAAGGGCTTACACAAAAAAGAAAACACCATAGACAAAGAAAGTAATAGAGGAAAAGACAAAGATGTGATCAGATTTTGGAAGATGGACATGGAGGGAGGGTGGCAACCTGCTGAGGGAAGCTTCAGAAATCTCTGTGCCAGAACAGGGCATCCTGGTGAGAAGGAAGACCATCTGTTCAGGTACCAGGAAAGGCAAGAGGTGGGAGTGATCGGGGGACAGGAACAAGGGGGGAGGGTTGAAAACCTCTAGGGAGTGTCAGCTAGAGACTTCAGGGCCCACTTGGCCAGATGATGGCTCTTGCCAACAATTGAAGGAGACCTCATGTTTAATTCCAGGAGCACCTGACCCAGGGAAGCTTCAGCATGGGATACTAGAGACAGGCCAGGGTGAGGCACCAGCCTGAAACTGGGCATCCCGAATGAGCAATGGGCCCAGCAGTCAGTTCCCTGGCCAGGCAGGAGGTGGGGAGTCCCTGCTGAGGGAGGTTGAATGCCCCCAGAGAAGTGTCCTACAGCTCCTGCCTGCCAGACCCCCAGGCACCCTGCAGAGGGAAAGTTAGTGATGGCGCTGGCCCCACAGAAGGCTTCCTGTCAACCTTAGTGCTTCAGTGGGATCAGACCCCTGGGTCACCAGCCATCTGAGGAAAGCCCCCACACATGGGAGAAAAGGTCTTAAAGGGAAGAGAATGTTAATGTCCTCAGTGAGATACAAAAGAGCATTGTCTGCATGAAAAAGGAACAGGATACTAGAAAAAGGATAACAAAGGGAACAGAATAAGAAAGTTCTTAAAATTAAAAAATAGAAAAAAAACTTCAAAAGAAGGCTTAGATTCTACTATTGTCTCAAGGAGATATTCCAAAAGCAAAATAGAGATAGTTTTTTTATCTTTCCTCTCCTCCTAATGTAGGAACAAGTCTAGAAGCCCAATATAGGATGAGTAGGAATTCCAGAAAGAATAGAAAACTGAAAGGAGGAAATGAACATAGAATGCAAGATAGTTTCTTGGCACCAGGCATGGTGGCTCATGCCTGTAATCCCAACACTTTGGGAGACCAAGGCAGGCAGATGACTTGAGCTCACGAGTTTGAGACCAGCCTTGGCAACATAGGGAGACACCATCCCCCACTTCCCGTGTCTACAAACACTATGAAAATTAGCCAGGCATGGAGTTGTGTACTTATGGCCCCAGCTACGTGGGAGGCTGAGGTTGGGGATGGCTTGAGCCTGGAAGGCAGAGGGTGCAACGAGCCTGGATTGTACCACTGCACTCCATCCTGGGAGACAGAAACAGACCTTGTCTCAAACAAAACAAAACAAAACAAAACAAAAAACAAAAATGCAAGATAGTTTCTTGGCAATGAGGCCATTATCTTCTAGATTGAAAGCGGCCCTGACAATGACTGAGAAAGACCCCACAGCAAAGCTTATCATTGTCAAGTGTCAGAACCCTGAGGATAAAGAAAGAGGGGCTTCTAAAACTCTAGGTTATTGTAAATACTTGGGAATACAAAGAGCAAACAAACATGAACAGCTAGGAGACAATGGAACAACTGATGACTCCAGAAATCAGTTAAAAAGGCTTTTCGGCCTAGAATTCTTTTGTTTTTGAAACCGGGTCTCACTGTCATCTGGGCTGGAGAGCAGTGGTACAGTTGTCTTCATCTCGTGGGCTCAAGTGATCCTTCTGCTTCAGCCTCCCCAGTAGCTGGGACTACAGGCATGTGCCACTGTGCCTAGATATTTTTTTTTTTCTTTTTCTTTCCCCACCCCCGAGTCAGAGTCTCGCTGTCGCCCAGGCTGGAGTGCAGCGGCGTGATCTCAGCTCACTGCAGTTTCCACCTCCTGGGTTCAAGCAATTTTCTGCCTCAGCCTCCCGAGTAGCTGGGATTACAGGCACCCGCCACCATGCCTGGCTAATTTTTATATTTTTAGTAGAGATGGGGTTTCACCATCTTGGCCAGGCTGGTCTTGAACTCCTGACCTCATGATCTACCTGCCTTCGTCTCCCAAAGTGCTGGGATTACAGGCATGAGCCACTGTGCCCAGCCCCGTGCCCAGCTATTTTAAAATTTTTTTGTAGAGATGGGGTCTTGCCATGCTGCCCAGGCCGATTTTGAACTCCTGGGCTCAAGAGATTTCTCATGTTGTTCTCCCAAAGTGTTAGGATTACATGCATGAGTCACTGTGCCTGGTCCAGCCTAGAATTCTATACCCAGCTAAAACGATCAAGTATCAGGGCAGAACAAAGTTACTTTCTGGTATACAGTCTTAATTATTTTAACCTTGGTTTGAACCACATGAAGAGAGAAACCCAAAATGAAGCACAGAGGTATTAGGAAACGGGGGACCTAACAGGACAGAGGGTGAACGTAAAGGGGGTCACAGCATCACAGCGCAGCCTCTGCCCAGAGAGCTGCCAGTCCTGGCTGGAACAGGAGGCTGCACAGCAAGCGGCACTCTCTATGGAAAACACCAGAACCAGTGGGGTCTCTGATCCACTTCACCCTTGTAGAAAACTATGGAGATGCTGTGGGAGAACATAGGGAAAGTTAGCAAATGCAAAGAGAAGGCAGGCTGGGTGCAGTGGCTCATGCCTGTAATCCAAGCACTTTGGGAGGCCAAGGCAGGCAGATCACCTGAGGTCAGGAGTTCAAGACCAGCCTGGCCAACATGGTGAAACCCCGTCTCTACTAAAAATATAAAAATTAGCTGGGCGTGGTGGCACGTGCCTATAGTCCCAGCTACTCGGGAGGCTGAGGCAGGAGAATCACTTGAACCTGGTGGGCAGAGGCTGCAGTGAGCCGAGAGATTGCGGCACTGCGCTCCAGCCTGGGCAACAGAGCGAGACTCTGTCTACAAAACAAAGGAAAAGAGAAGCCATTATCAGTGGTAGGAAAACAAAAAGCGATACAAAGAAATAGTCTGCTACTTGACCCAGCAAAGAACATTTAGATAGAGGTCCTAGCTGAAACATTGAATGTTCTTTTTTTTTTTTGAGATGGAGTCTTGCTCTGTCACCAGGCTGGAGTGCAGTGGCGCCAACTTGGCTCACTGCAACCTCCGCCTCCCAGGTTCAAGCGATTCTTCTGCCTCGGCCTCCCGAGTAACTGAGACTACAGGCGATTGCCACCACGCCCAGCTGATTTTTTGTATTTTTAGTAGAGACGGGGTTTCACCATATTAGCCAGGGTAGTCTCGATCTCCTGATCTCGTGATCCGCCCGCCTCGGCCTCCCAAAGTGCTGGGATTACAGGCGTGAGCCACTGCGCTCGGCCTACTGAATGTTCTTTTAACAAAAAATTGCGTCTTGGAAAGGGTAGTGGAAGGAGAGGCAGGTACTGGTCCAGAGTAGGAAGTGCGCAGATGTGAACTCCAGCAGCAGGCAAGAGCAGCGTGAGCTGAAAGGGCACAGGGAGAGTTTGGGGAGTGGGATGGGGGCAGGGAGTGTGCACCACAGCCTTTGGCAACTGGTGACTCTAAGCTGTGGGTGTGGAGACTTTTGACACATTTAATTTCAAAAATAGTGCAGGTGATTCTCCCCTCTGTCCCTGGTGAGTCACGTGAGCCTGGAGGTGTGCAGGTTCCCTGTGGGGCCAGCGTTGGGCCCTACGCAGCGCCTGCACGGCCCATCCACCTCCCAGAGCAGAGCTCCGGCGTTGAGGTGTGCGTGTGTGTCGTCGCACAAAGCCTCTGTGTGCAGGTGTCAGGAGGCACATGGCCTTCCATCACTGTGGCTGGAAGCGCCTGCCACATGTGGTATTGGCTCTCCCTGTACTTAGGGCCTGGCCCCACCTGCCGTGTGGCCCGTGTCCTGCATGGTTAGGAAAAAGGTCTCTTTCGACTTTCTGGCTCAGAAGCTGACTTTAGATGCTAGCTGAGGTTAATGTTTTACTGAATTGGAGAAAGAGAAAGGTCCAGTATCATGGGCCCACCAAGAATGTTTCCAGAAGCCACAGAGATTTGTAGCTGGGATATGGGGAGAAGCCTCTGACTCATGGGTTTGTATCGTCTGGTCCCATACTGGCTGTGTGATTGCGGGGTCGAGCTGGGTAGAACCTAGCACCTGCATCCACACGCTGAGTGCCACCATCCAGACACTTAGCTGCTTGTGGGGACTGAACGTTGAGATCTTCGTGAGTCTGTAGTCTCCACAGGCCAAGCTCCTGCTTGCAGGTGCATCCTTGGGGGAACTTCACGGCTTGCTCTTTCCTCCTCCGCCTCTAGGCATTGAAGTTGATATCGATGTGGAGCACGGAGGGAAAAGAAGCCGCCTGACCCCCGTCTCTCCAGAGAGTTCCAGCACAGAGGAGAAGAGCAGCTCACAGCCAAGCAGCTGCTGCTCTGACCCCAGCAAGCCGGGTGGGAATGTTGAGGGCGCCACGCAGTCTCTGGCGGAGCAGATGAGGAAGATCGCCTTGGAGTCCGAGGGGCGCCCTGAGGCAAGCCTGTGCCCCTCCCGCCACCTGGGACCACGGCCAGCCTAGTGATCTGTGGCCTGCACCTCCGCCTCATCCTCAGCACCTCTGCAGCCCCACTTACAAACCCGAGGGAGCTGCTGCTGCTGCAGTGATGTCTGTGCCATTAAAGTCACGCTGGGAACCTGCTAGAACTTTGTAGTTACTTGGTCTTTGTGAGTGGCCACTGTTCCCCCTAGACCCCTGCAGCCTTAACTGCACGTGTGCATGCGTGCTCCCCGACTGTCTGCCAGGAGCCAGGGCCATGGTCAGGCTTGGCCTGTTGCGCGTGTCTCCTGTGTGCTCATGGTGAGTTTTGTTCCAGGAACAGATGGAGTCGGATAACTGTTCAGGAGGAGATGATGACTGGACCCATCTGTCTTCAAAAGAAGTGGACCCGTCTACAGGTGAACTCCAGTCCCTACAGATGCCAGAATCCGAAGGGCCAAGCTCTCTGGACCCCTCCCAGGAGGGACCCACAGGGCTGAAGGAAGCTGCCTTGTACCCACATCTCCCGCCAGGCAAGTGAACCAAGAGGTTTTGTACATATTCCTACCTTTCCCTTTAGAGCATCCTGCCCTCCTCTGATTTCAGCGACACAAACAGAAGGATGAGATGTTCTCCACTGCAGGGCTGTCTGTAGGTGTGGGAGGTTAGGAGTTGGTTTTGTCCTATTATGTGTACCCTGAGCAATAGCGAGTAAGCTCTGCTAATGCAGTTCTGAAAATGTTTTTCTTTAGGCAAACTCCAGAGCCAGGAATATTAATTGTAGGAGTTTCTAAAACTTAACATGCAGACCAGGAATTAAGGCAGGTGTGACACAGAGAGGGGGCAGCACTGGGTGTGTCCCTACTACTCACACTCAAGTGCCGCCTCAGGGAGTGCTGGTCTGAGAGGGGGGGGGGTCATAGCCAAGATCCCTGTAGGAGCCAGGCAGAAGCCACCGTTGAAGTGGATGGTGTGGCAGGCAGCAGTGGGGGGGTGGGGGGTGGGGACAGCTGACAGAAACTCCTCATTGTCACATGGCAGCCGTGTGTAAACCAAGGTCCGTGTGCACAACCTGCTGTGGGCCGCCGCTGTGTGTCTTCTCTGCCTTAGGGCAGGGGATGGCGAGCTATGGCCTATGGGCCAAGAGTAGTTCTTATTTTTGTTTATTTATTTATTTATTTTTATTGATCATTCTTGGGTGTTTCTCGCAGAGGGGGATTTGGCAGGGTCATAGGACAATAGTGGAGGGAAGGTCAGCAGATAAACAAGTGAACAAAGGTCTCTGGTTTTCCTAGGCAGAGGACCCTGCGGCCTTCCGCAGCGTTTGTGTCCCTGGGTACTTGAGATTAGGGAGTGGTGATGACTCTTAAGGAGCATGCTGCCTTCAAGCATCTGTTTAACAAAGCACATCTTGCACCGCCCTTAATCCATTTAACCCTGAGTGGACACAGCACATGTTTCAGAGAGCACGGGGTTGGGGGTAAGGTCACAGATCAACAGGATAAGAATTTTTCTTAGTACAGAACAAAATGAAAAGTCTCCCATGTCTACTTCTTTCCACACAGACACGGCAACCATCCGATTTCTCAATCTTTTCCCCACCTTTCCCCGCTTTCTATTCCACAAAGCCGCCATTGTCATCATGGCCCGTTCTCAATGAGCTGTTGGGTACACCTCCCAGACGGGGTGGTGGCCGGGCAGAGGGGCTCCTCACTTCCCAGTAGGGGCGGCCGGGCAGAGGCGCCCCTCACATCCCGGACGGGGTGGCTGCCGGGCGGAGGGTCTCCTCACTTCTCAGACGGGGCGGCCGGGCAGAGACGCTCCTCACCTCCCGGATGGGGTCGCGGCCAGGCAGAGGCGCTCCTCACATCCCAGACAGGGCGGCGGGGCAGAGGCGCTCCCCACATCTCAGACGATGGGTGGCCGGGCAGAGACGCTCCTCACTTTCCAGACTGGGCAGCCAGGCAGAGGGGCTCCTCACATTCCAGACGATGGGCGGCCAGGCAGAGACGCTCCTCACTTCCCAGACGGGGTGGCGGCCGGGCAGAGGCTGCAATCTCGGCACTTTGGGAGGCTAAGGCAGGCAGCTGGGAGGTGGAGGTTGTAGCGAGCCGAGATCACGCCACTGCACTCCAGCCTGGGCACCATTGAGCACTGAGTGAACCAGACTCCGTCTGCAATCCCGGCACCTCGGGAGGCCGAGGCTGGCGGATCACTCGTGGTTAGGAGCTGGAGACCAGCCCGGCCAACACAGCGAAACCCCGTCTCCACCAAAAAAACACGAAAACCAGTCAGTCGTGGCGGCGCGCACCTGCAATCGCAGGCACTCGGCAGGCTGAGGCAAGAGAATCAGGCAGGGAGGTTGCAGTGAGCCGAGATGGCAGCAGTACAGTCCAGCTTTGGCTCGGCATCAGAGGGAGACCGTGGAGAAAGAGGGAGAGGGAAAGCTATATCATTCTTATGTCTTTGCATCATCATAGCTTAGCATCTACTCATAAGTGAGAACATATGATATTTGGTATCCATTCCTGAATTACTTTACTTAGGATAATGGCCTCCAGCTCCGTCCAAGTTGCTGCAAAAGGTATTATTTCGTTCCTTTTTGTGGCTGAGTAGTATTCCATGGTGTATATATACCACATTTTCTTTATCCACTCATTGCTTGATGGGCAGTTAGGTTGGTTCCACATCTTTGCAATTGTGAGTTGTGCTGCTCCAGATATCATCTTTAACTCCTTTGCCTTCTCCACATACATTTCCAAGTCCTGTTCATTCTACCTCCAAAATGTATCTTGTATCCATTCATCTCTCTCCATCTTCAATCTATTTCAATGCCCCATCATCTCTTGCATGGAGGAGTGTAATAATTGGCTAACTGGCCTGTTCTTACATTTTAAAATCAAAAGATGTGACAGGTGAAATGCCTATTTCAGTGTCCATTGATGGTTCTGCTTACACACCACCTGGCTGCCTGGTGTCGCAGTGGCAGAGTTGAGCAGTGTGAAAAAGACTGCTTGGCCCTTTACAGGGAAAGCAGGTCCACTGTGGCCTGTGAGGACGAGAGCTCTGGGCAGGCTCGGACACTGGCAGACCCTGGTCCTGGCTGGCCAAGGCAGCAGGGTATGTGTTTCGGGTCACTCACAGGGCTCAGCACCACTCCTCATGGCTTCCTTACTGTTTCGGCAGAGGCTGACCCGCGGCTGATTGAGTCCCTCTCCCAGATGCTGTCCATGGGCTTCTCTGATGAAGGCGGCTGGCTCACCAGGCTCCTGCAGACCAAGAACTATGACATCGGAGCGGCTCTGGACACCATCCAGTATTCAAAGCATCCCCCGCCGTTGTGACCACTTTTGCCCACCTCTTCTGCGTGCCCCTCTTCTGTCTCATAGTTGTGTTAAGCTTGCGTAGAATTGCAGGTCTCTGTACGGGCCAGTTTCTCTGCCTTCTTCCAGGATCAGGGGTTAGGGTGCAAGAAGCCATTTAGGGCAGCAAAACAAGTGACATGAAGGGAGGGTCCCTGTGTGTGTGTGTGCTGATGTTTCCTGGGTGCCCTGGCTCCTTGCAGCAGGGCTGGGCCTGCGAGACCCAAGGCTCACTGCAGCGCGCTCCTGACCCCTCCCTGCAGGGGCTACGTTAGCAGCCCAGCACATAGCTTGCCTAATGGCTTTCACTTTCTCTTTTGTTTTAAATGACTCATAGGTCCCTGACATTTAGTTGATTATTTTCTGCTACAGACCTGGTACACTCTGATTTTAGATAAAGTAAGCCTAGGTGTTGTCAGCAGGCAGGCTGGGGAGGCCAGTGTTGTGGGCTTCCTGCTGGGACTGAGAAGGCTCACGAAGGGCATCCGCAATGTTGGTTTCACTGAGAGCTGCCTCCTGGTCTCTTCACCACTGTAGTTCTCTCATTTCCAAACCATCAGCTGCTTTTAAAATAAGATCTCTTTGTAGCCATCCTGTTAAATTTGTAAACAATCTAATTAAATGGCATCAGCACTTTAACCAATGACGTTTGCATAGAGAGAAATGATTGACAGTAAGTTTATTGTTAATGGTTCTTACAGAGTATCTTTAAAAGTGCCTTAGGGGAACCCTGTCCCTCCTAACAAGTGTATCTCGATTAATAACCTGCCAGTCCCAGATCACACATCATCATCGAAGTCTTCCCCAGTTATAAAGAGGTCACATAGTCGTGTGGGTCGAGGATTCTGTGCCTCCAGGACCAGGGGCCCACCCTCTGCCCAGGGAGTCCTTGCGTCCCATGAGGTCTTCCCGCAAGGCCTCTCAGACCCAGATGTGACGGGGTGTGTGGCCCGAGGAAGCTGGACAGCGGCAGTGGGCCTGCTGAGGCCTTCTCTTGAGGCCTGTGCTCTGGGGGTCCCTTGCTTAGCCTGTGCTGGACCAGCTGGCCTGGGGTCCCTCTGAAGAGACCTTGGCTGCTCACTGTCCACATGTGAACTTTTTCTAGGTGGCAGGACAAATTGCGCCCATTTAGAGGATGTGGCTGTAACCTGCTGGATGGGACTCCATAGCTCCTTCCCAGGACCCCTCAGCTCCCCGGCACTGCAGTCTGCAGAGTTCTCCTGGAGGCAGGGGCTGCTGCCTTGTTTCACCTTCCATGTCAGGCCAGCCTGTCCCTGAAAGAGAAGATGGCCATGCCCTCCATGTGTAAGAACAATGCCAGGGCCCAGGAGGACCGCCTGCCCTGCCTGGGCCTTGGCTGGGCCTCTGGTTCTGACACTTTCTGCTGGAAGCTGTCAGGCTGGGACAGGCTTTGATTTTGAGGGTTAGCAAGACAAAGCAAATAAATGCCTTCCACCTCACCGCAAACCTTCTGCTAAATTGCATGACCAGGCTTTCCAAAAACAAGACATTCTCATGTCATCAGGTGATCCATCTCCTGGGGACCTTAGAATCAGGTTACCGGTGCCTACAAAAGAATTTTGAGCAGAAGGGCCTCGAGACATCGGGAAAGGGGTGCGCTGGCTCCATTCTGCTACCTCCCACCGGGGGGCAGCTCTCCAGAGCCTGCCGGGTTCTGCAGCTGCAGAGGTGGCAGCACCGAGCTCCCTGTGGGATAGGACTGGTGCTGGGGTCTGGCTTCTCTCACCCCAGGAACCAAAGATGCTCTGAAAGTTGGGTGTCGGCCGGGCGCAGTGGCTCACGCCTGTAATCCCAGCACTTTGGGAGGCCAAGGCAGGTAGATCACCTGAGGCCAGGAGTTCGAGATCAACCTGGCCAACATGGCGAAACCCTATCACTACTAAAAATACAAAAATTAACCTGGCGTGGTGGCACGCGCCTGTAATCTCAGCTACTCGGGAGGCTGAGGCAGGAGAATCACTTGAACCTGGGAGGCAGAGGTTGCAGTGAGCCGAAATCACGCCATTCCACTCCAGCCTAGGCAACAGAGCGAACTCTGTCTCAAAAAAAAGAAAGTTGGGTTGTAGGCTGGGAGCAGTGGCTCATGCCTGAATCCCAGCACTTTGGGAGGCTGAGGCAGGCAGATTGCTTGAGCCCAGGAGTTTGACACCAGTTTGGGCAACATGGTGAAACCCCCTCTTCTACAAAAAATTAGCCAACTGTGGTGGTGAGTGCCTGTGATCCCAGCTGCTCGGGAGGATCACTTAAGCCCGGGAGATGGAGGCTGCTATGAGGTGTGATTGTACCATTGCACTCCAGCCTAGGTGACAGAGTGACACCCCATCTCAAAAACAAAAGGCTGGGTGCAGTGGCTCATGCCTGTAATCCCAGTACTTTGGGAGGCCGAGGCGGGTGGATCACTTGAGGTCAGGAGTTCAAGACCAGCCTGGCCAACATGGGGAAGCCCTGTCTCTACTAAAAATACAAAAATTAGCCAGGCGTGGTGGCGGGTGCCTGTAATCCCAGCTACTCAGGAGGCTGAGGCAGGAGAATCGCTTGAACCTGGGAGGCGGAGGTTGCAGTGAGCCAAGATCGTGCCATTACACTCCAGCCAGGGGAACAAGAGTGAAACTCCTACTCAAAAAAAAAAAAAAAACAACAGTTGGGTTGTGCTGCTTACAAAGGGAAAAGCAATGTGAAAGCAGCGATAGAGTGGGTCCCTGCAGCACTGCCACCCAGGCAGTACAGAAGAGGCTCTGCGGCCCTGAAACTTGACGTTGGCTTTGCCACTGAACTTGCCATGACTGCACAAAAACTGCAAGCCTCAGTTCCTCACCTTTAAAACAAAGCAACAGGCTTGAGGGAGCATGAAACACAATGATACCATTACAACATGCAGCCCAGGGACTGGCCCGTGGCAGACTCTCTGGTCATTCTTCTAGGATTTGGAGATTCAAAGCCACTTACTTACCCAGGATCACAAAACTAGTTGGCGGCAACATCAAAGTTTGAATTCTGCTTCTTGGCATGAGCCAGTGCTCTGTGCGTGGTGCAAGGCCAGCGGAGACCGACCTTGGCTGATGTGGGGGTGGGGGCAGTGACTGACGCCCAGTGGACTCCCAACTGCAGTGCCCTTGCTGTGCCCTGGCTCCTCTGACAGGCAGAGCAAACCCTGCACTCTGCAGCACTGGATATGCGGTGGGGCCTGCTGGACTGGAAGCTTCAAGAACAAGACAAATGGGCCAGGCGCAGTGGCCCACACCTATAGTCCCAGCACTTTGGGAAGTGGGAAGATTGCTTGAGCTCAGGAGTTTGAGACAAGCCTGGGCAACATAGTGAGACCATGTCTCTAAAAAATTTTTTTTTTCTGTTGCCCAGGCTGGAGCGCAGTGATGCAATCTCAGCTCACTGCAACCTATGCCTCTCAGGTTCAAGCAATTCTCCTGCCTCAGCCTCTCGAGTGGCTGGGATTATAGGCGTGCACAACCACGCCCAGCTAATTATTTTTAGTAGAGATGGGGTTTCACCATGTTGGCCAGGCTGGTCTCAGACTCCTGACCTCAAGTGATCCACCCACCTCGGCCTCCCAAAGTGCTGAGATTACAGGTGTGAGCCACTGCGCCTGGCCTCTACAAAATATTTTTTAAAGATTAGCCAGTGTGGTGGTGTGCATCTGTGGTCCCAGCTACTTGGCGGCTGAGGCAGGAGGATCACTTGAGCCTGGGAGGTTGAGGCTTCAGTAGGCTATGACTGTGCCACTGCACTCCAGCCTGGGTAGACAGAGTGAGACCCTGTCTCAGAAAACAAAAAAGAACAAGACAACACCCTAAGTGAAGAGTGCCTCACATACAAGAGTCCACAGCAGGGCAAATGCGAGTGTGGAGGGAAGCATCTCCCAGGATTCAGGGCGGCCCGCTGACGACTCCTGCCCGGACAAAGGTCCCCGTGCTCCACGCAGAATGAGACGATGGCCCTGACCCATCGTCAGGTTGACCTGCTGGCCAACCTCAGTTTCTCCAAGGGTCACAATGCTCTTTGGTCCTGAGTTACCCTCATGGGAGACGAGAGGCATGGGAGGGAAAAGGGGGTACAGACCCGAGGAAGGAGTTGGCTTCAGACAGAAAAGACAAGAAACCCGGGTGGGAAGATGGGCTTTCTGCGGGTAGGAATCGCACACTTCGTCAACTGTGACAAAAGACAGAATTATCACACACACGCTCAGTGGTCACTGGGACCAGAGAGAAACTGTTTGTCACTGACCTTCTGGGGTCCCCAGGCGACCTCAGAGCCACCCGAGTCCTGCACGCCACGGCTGCACGGAGGCTGGACGGTGCTCCTGCTCCACTTCCTGTCAGGACAGGACCGTCAGTAGTCCCGTGCTACTCTCCAGTGGCACCCCGAGCCTGACTCCACGATCACATGGCCCACAGGCTCGGGTGGCCACCTGCTTGTTCCTACGGCTTCCCAGGCAGCTGCTCAGGGTGTCCAGCCACCGCCCAGGCCCCACTCCCCTGCTTCACAGCTTCTAGGTGCTAGAAAGTTTTGTTTTTATTTCAGTCAGGGTCTCACCGGCACCCAGGCTGGAGTGCAATGGCTCACTGCCGCCTTGACCTCCTGGGCTCAGGTGATCCTCCTGCCTCAGCCTCCCAAGTAGCTGGGACCACAGGCATGCACCACCATGCCCCATGAATTTGTTTTAAAAAATCTGTTGTACAGATAGGGTCTCCCTATGTTGCCCGGACTGGAGGATCAAATGATCCTCCTGCCTCAGCCTCCCAAAGTGCTGGGATTACAGGTGTGAGCCACTGTACCCGGATGAAGGTTCTGGTTTGAAAGCAGAATCTACCTCCTGAAAGCACCTGCCCTCTAAGAGCCTCCCTAGATCCTTAACCTAAAGCAGTCTCTCCAAAAATCTCACTGAAATGCCTGAAGCAGAAGAAAACTTCCTTCAAGTCTGAGGCCTCTGCTTCTCTGAGCTAAAAGCTCTTAGGCCTGCCAGCTACTCCGACCTCTCCCCTGGGGTCAGTACAGTCTGAGATGTTCAGAATTAAGTGGGCATCATAAAGGGTGTGCACACGGGTGTCCTGCCCAGCCTTCGCCTCTGCACCAGCAGTGCCCAATGCCCAGGTGGGCTGTGGGGCCAGCAGTGGCAGCAGCTGCCCGATTTCCCACCTGCTGGCACTTGCCACCTAGGCTTCCCGCGCTTGGCTGACGCTCACAGTGGCTCACTGGTGCCCCACTGCTGGAGGCAGCAGAGGCCCTGGGCCAGGGCTGGAACGGAGACGCACTTGGTACCTTTTTCTAGGCAGGTCTTGACTGAAGCGGGGGCCTGGCTCCTCCATTTTGGATGAAGGCTGTTTGCTGAAACACACTCCTGTTCCTTCCAGCTCCAGTTCTTGGGAGTCCTTTTCTAGATACTTCAGCCAGCGACTCTCTGAGGGCTGCGATTTTTCCTGCCAGATTGAGAAAAAAGTTGATTCTCAGTACTGGAAACCAGGCAGTTTTATCGAAAACCCCTAGCCCAACTCTTGGGCCTGAGGATCTCAGGAGTCATGTCCAGCTCCACTCTAGGAAAGGCACCGGCTGGAAGGTGATGGACGCCAATACTATGCAATGCTGGCAGGACAGTGCTCACTGGCACAGGCCTCGGGAAGGCGGCAGGGCACGGCCCACCAAGAGACTCATGAAAGTCTATGCTCCCTGGCCCAGTGATTCCACACAGAGAAGGCAGAGGTGCCAGTCCCAGTCTTATAAAAAATAGCAAATTTCATTTATAAGAACAGAAGTAGCCGGGCGCGGTGGCTCACACCTGTAATCCCAGCACCTTGGGAGGCCGAGGCTGGCGGATCACAAGGTCAGGAGATCGAGACCACCCTGGCCAATACGGTGAAACCCCGTCTCTACTAAAAAAAAAACAACAACAAAAAAAAAACAAAAAATTAGCCGGGCGTGATGGCAGGCACCTGTAGTCCCAGCTACTCAGGAGGCTGAGGCAGGAGAATGGTGTGAACCCGGGAGGCGGGGCCTGCAGTGAGCCGAGATGGTGCCATTACACTCCAGCCTGGGGGGCAGAGCGAGACTCCGTCTCAAAAAAAAAAAAAAAAAAAAAAAAAAAAAAAGAACAGAGGGGTGGAAACATGGCCAGGCGCGGTGGCTCACACCTGTAACCCTAGCACCGTGGGAGGCTGAGGCGGGCGGGTCACCTGAGCTCAGGAGTTCAAGACTAGCCTAGGCAACATGGTGAAACCCCGTCTCTACTAAAAATACAAAAATTAGCCGGGCGTGGTGGTGCGTGCCTGTAATCCCAGCTTCTTGGGAGGCTGAGGCAGGAGAATTGCTTGAACTCAGGAGGCAGAAGTTGCAGTGAGCTGAGATCACGCCACTGCACTCCGGCTGGGGGACACAGCGAGACTCTGTCGAAAGGAGGAAAGAAGGAAGGAAGGAAGGAAGGGAGGGAGGGAGGGAGGGAGGCAGGCAAGCAGGCAAGCAGAAGTGTGGAAACAACCTAAATGCCACATAATAAGGAATCAATACTGGTGCATCTACTACATTCTGTAAATACTTTTGTTTTTTGAGACGTTGGGGCTCCAGTGAGCAGCGATCATGCCTCCACACTCCAGCCTGGGTGACAGAGAGGGACCCTGTCTCAAAAATTAATAAATAAGAAATGAAAATCACTGAAAACTATACCGCAGCACAGAAGAATGATACAACTCAAAACTAGGATGCAAAAAAGTATTTCTGATGAGAATGATATAAAATTAAGTCTGTAAATGGACTGAATTGGAAGCACAGGCACAGGTACCAGAAGAGCATCTTCCTCTGCTTATAACAAAGTGTGAGTCTGGCCAGGTGCAGTGGTTCATGCCTGTAATCCCAGTACTTTGGGAGCTGAGGTGGGAAGATGGCCTGAGCCCAGGAGTTTGAGACCAGCCTAGACAACACAGGGAGACCCTGCCTCTACAAAAAAGAAAAAAAATTAGCTGGGCGTGGTAGGGCACAGTTGTAGTCCCAGTTACTCAGGAGCCTGAGGTGGGAGGATCACTTCAGCCCAGGAAGTCAAGGCTGCAGAGAACCATGATCGCGCCACTGCATTCCAGCCTGGGCGACAGAGTGAGACCTCGTTTCAGAGAAAAAAAACAAAACAAAACAAAACAACAGCTTGCAGTCTGGAACAAGGAAAGATGGAAACCCAGGTGTTTCACCCCATTATTCTTTCCCTCTCAGAGGTATGCCCAGAGTGCTGTGGGAGCAAAGTGGAAGCAGTATAAGGTGATATTTGAGCTACATTCAGGAGTTCTCCAAGCAGACAGAGGAGAGAGTCCTTTGCAGGGTATTGTAATGCTTGGTACACATGGCTGCCTCCATCCTTACAAAAGGTACAGGTTTATTTATTTTTGTGTTCCCTGCAGCTTTAAGCCAACTGCCTGTCATTGGGTGGCATCAACACACATTTGCTATAATGACTACTGGATACATCTGTGCATTCATCCCTTCCCTGACACAGAGCCAGCCTGGGGCAGGTGGGCCTGAGGCTTACCTGCTGCTTCACATTCCCAGCCTGCTGGTGTCCCACGTTTTCTTCTTCACTGGCACTGACAGTTTCTTCTAGAGACCTTCAGGGAAGACCATACATATGCCCTTTGAAAAATGACCAGGGGCTGGGCACAGTGGCTCACTCCTGTAATCCCAGCACTTTGGGAGGCTGAGGCAGGTGGATCACCTGAGGTCAGGAGTTCGAGACAAGTCTGACGAACACGGTGGTGCATACCTATATTCCCAGCTACTCAGGAGGCTGAGGCAGATAATGTTTGAACCCGGAAGGCAGAGGCTGCAGTGAGCCAAGATTGCTGGAAGATGGAATCACATGACAATGGAGATAAGTTGCAGCTTCAACCTCCCTGGGCTCAGGTGGATCCTCCCACCTCAGCCTCCTGAGTATCTGGGACCACAGGCACGCACCACTACGCCTGCCCTTTTTTTTTCTTCTTTTTATTGTAGAGACGGTTTTGCCATCTTGCCCAGGCTAGTCTCAAATTCCTGGGCTCAAGTGATCTACCCACCTCGGCCTCCCAAAGTGCTGGGATTACAAGCGTGAAGTACGCATCCAGCTGGTATTTGATTTTAAAAATCATTTTTCCAATTGTCCACTGCATATATATAGAAATACAATTTAATTTTGTATGTTGACCTTGTATTCTTGTGATCTTGCTAAATTATTAGTTCTAGTAGCTTTTTTGTAGATTCATTAGGATTTTCTACATACACAATCATGCTATTTGCAAATAAAATAAT
The DNA here is from genome assembly GCF_000001405.40 of Homo sapiens. Lineage (NCBI taxonomy): Eukaryota > Metazoa > Chordata > Mammalia > Primates > Hominidae > Homo > Homo sapiens. The sequence goes on from NC_000005.10 coordinate 179,844,907, forward strand.
GCTTTTATCCAGTTTGGGATTTACTGTGTTTCCTTAATCTAAAAATGTTATGTCTTTGATTCTGGAAAATGCTGTGCTCTTATCTCTTCAGTTATTGCTTTTGCCCCATTCTCTTAATTATCTTTTGCTAGAACTCTCCTCTGTAACCTCCACGTCTCTCAACTTTCCCTTATATTTTCTACTTTTCCATTTTTCTGTGTTGCACTGTGAATAATTTTCTAGATTTATCTTCCATTTCACTAATTCTCTCTTCAGCTGCATTTAATCTGTTTAACGTGTCCACTGAATTTTTAATTTCTTCTTTTTTTTTTGAGATGGAGTCTCACTCTGTCACCCAGGCTGGTGTGCAGTGGCACAATCTTGGCTCACTGCAACCTCCGCCTCCTGGGTTCAAGTGATTTCCAGCTAATTTTTGTATTTTTAGTAGAGATGGGGTTTCACTATGTTGGCCAGGCTGGTCATGAACTCCTGACCTCAAGTGATCTGCCTGCCTTGGCCTCCCAAATTGCTAGGATTACAGGCATGAGCCACTGCACCCGGCCTGAAATGAATTTTTAATTTCAATGATTATACTTTTAAGTTCTACAAACTCTTTTATTTTTTAAAGACAGAGTCTCACTCTGGTGCAGGCCTCACTTGAGCCTGGGAGGCGGAGGTTGGCTAACTGCAACCTCTGCCTCCCAGGCTCAAGCGATTCTTATGCCTCAGCCTCCTGAGTAGCTGGGATTACAGGCATGTGCCACCACACCCAATTGACTTTTGTATTTTTAGTAAAGACAGGGTTTCACCATGTTGGCCAAGCTGGGCTTGAACTCCTGACCTCAAATAATCCGCCTGCCTTGGCCTCCCAAAGTGCTGGGATTATAGGTGTGAGCCACTGCACCCGGCCTCTTTTTGGTTCTTTTTCAAATACACCTATTTTTTTGGATGTGAGGGTGATGTGGCTGCACCATCTGTCACTCCATCAATCACCAGGGTTGGTTAGCTGATCTGGATGGCTAGGTGGTGTCCCCTTCTTCCCTCACCGCTCCATGTGCGTCCCTCCTGAAGCTGTGCGCTTGGTCGAAGAGGACGACCACCTCCAATAGAGGAGGAGCGGTCTTTGGTCCAGGGTATATGAGTAGCTGCACTCCCCTGCTAGAACCTCCAAAAAAGCTCTCAAATACACCTATTTTTTGAAGGCCCTCATCTTATCACCCACTTCTTTTATTGGATTAAATATATTAAACATGCAATATCATGTATTCTGAAGTCTTTATGGGTCTGACTTTTCTGACTGTTGATCTTTTGCTCCTGGTGGTGTATTTCCTTGAATGTTAAATGATTTTAAACTCCTGAGTATATTATGCTACTTGGAACTTTTTCTTTGGGGATTCTTTTTTTCTTTTTTTTTTTTGAGATGGAGTCTCACTCTATTGGCAGGCTGGAGTGCAGTGGCACCACCTCGGAACACTGCAGCCTCCGCCTCCCAGATTCAAGCAATTCTCCAGCCTCAGCCTCCCTAGTAGCTGGGATTACAGGCGCCCGCCACCACGCCCAGCTGATTTTGTATTTTTAGTAGAGACGGGATTTCATCGTATTGGCCAGGATGGTCTCGATCTCTTGACCTCATGATCCATCTGCCCCGGCCTCCCAGTGTGCTGGGATTACAGGGGTGAGCCACCACACCCGGCCTCTGTGGGAACTTTAAGGCCCAGCAATTGAAGATATATTGCTGCAAAGAGGAGCTCCATTTACCTCTGCTTCCTGGGACAATTAAAACATAAATTTTCTGCTTGAGGCTTTTCACACAGGGTATGTAAAAGGCTGAAAAACCATGCAACTACTTCCTTTTATTTCCAAAATCTTAGAGATATTTCCCCCTCTTCAGCCATTGCCAAGGTCAATACAGGCAAGCTGCCTGTTGCAGAGTGGATCTAGTTCATTTGTACACCGAGGGTGTAGTCCTCCGGGAGCTCAGTTTTGTTAGGAGGTGTCCTACTGGTCCGCCCACACTGCCGTAGGTTTTGTCTTCTGAGGGCCTCCTGCCCCTCTCCCAGCCGTCGAAATGGAGGCTCCAGAGCACCGGGCTTCAATCACCCCAGCAGCTCAGGTGCTTCCTCTCTGGATTTTGGCTTCTACATTTTTTTTTAAGCCAGTTAAACTTAGCAGTGGAGAGTTGTATACCAACGTTAGTGACACTAATGTTAATCAGTTCTCATAACCCACCACCATCAGACCCGCTTCTTCATTTTTGACCTCTGAGAGTTACTTACTTTTTTTTTTTTTTTTTTTTTTTTTTGAGATAGTCTCGTTCTGTCGCCCAGGCTGGAGCGCAATGGCGCGATCTCGGCTCACTGCAACCTCTGCCTCCTGGGGTCAAGTGATTCTCCTACCTCAGCCTCCTGAGTAGCTGGGATCACAGGCATGCAACATCATGCCAGGCTAATTTTTTTGTATTTTTAATATACACGGGGTTTCACCATGCTGGCCAGGCTGGTCTCGAACTCCTGACCTCGTGATCTGCCCGCCTTGGCCTCCTAAAGTGCTGGGACTACAAGCATGAGCCACTGCGCCTGGCCGAGAGTTACTTTCTTGTCAGCTCATCAGTGCATTTAAAATAGCTAGCATTTTTAGTTATTTTCAGTGGGAGAATTGCTCAGGGTGTTTGACTGCCATATTGTAAGACGTGGAAGTCTAAGGGACTTCTCCACTGACCCAGGCCCAGTGGGGTCTGTCCTACCAGGGCCTCTCTGGTGAGCCAGCCACAAACAAGAACAGCTGTGTCAAGAGCCTTCAGCTCTGGAGGCACAGAGCAATGGCCTGCCAGCTTTAAAAACCACAGGTCTGGACCTCATCACAGGTAATCAGGTGAGAATCTCCTCGGGTGAAGCTCAGCCCCAGTATTCTAAACATCCCCGGGGTCGGTTCTGAGGGCAGCTGCTGACCTCAGATGGCAAAGTGACAGCAGGGACCTGGGGCAGGTCCAGCCACAGCAGAGTGCCCAGCTCAGGATTTCCACTGTGTACTTCTATTATCCAGTCAAGACGAAAACAGGGCAAGACAACCACGCTCTTCTCAAACAACTGTACCTGAGTGGCAGCTCTGAAACTTGTCCCTGTAGTAGATTTAACTTTTGGACATGGCGTCTACAATCAGCACCAGAGCCTTCACCATAAGCCTGAGAAACCAAAAAATATATTACATTGAAAAAGTGCTGGCAGAATGCTGAGAAACAGATCCATTTGAGATGCACCTCAGGGAGGACAAAGCTGTATTCTGCAAGGCCCAAAGACCCCTAAAGCAGCATGCAGGAATCCTAATGACTGACGGCTGTCTCTAGAATGATTTACAAACCAACAGTCTCCGGAACTAATAGTTTACATCTATGTGGCTGTCCCACAATCACCCTGAACTCTACCTACTGAAGCCAAACTCAACCCAAAGCCCTACACAAAATGGTTAGTGCACATGAGTAAAAAGGTCACAAGAGAAGTAACACATATTGCCATATTGTATAACATACTGCCAAAAAATATATGAAATGATACTTACCTTCACTGATAATCAAAGGAATACAAAATAAAATACATTTTTTCCCACTTACCAGTCACAAATTCATCCAACAAATATTTATTGAATACCAACTGTGTGCCAGGCCTCATCTTGGGGTAGACAATACAGGAATGGACAAGACTCCCTGTCATCATGGAACTCACATTCAAGTGAGAAGAGACAGGAAAGAAACAAGTGAGCCATATAACCTATCAGATGCTAGTAAGTGCTCCTGAGAAAGACAAGGCCAGGAAAGAGGTCGTACATAAGAGCATACCGTTTTACATAAGGTGTTCAAAATGGTCAAGAAATGCATCTCTAAGAAGGTAACGTTTGAGCACAAACAGGAAGATATGAAGAAGCAACCCACATGGCTGTCTAGGGGAAGAACATTCCAGCAGAAGCAATACATGAGAATGAGTGTGAAGACCCTGAGCCTGAAATTTTGGAGGAACAGCAAAGAGGCCAGCATCGCTGGAGCTGAGGGGTCTAAGGGGAAGACGGTACGAGACGGAATTTGAGAGCATGGGTCCTGCTATGGCACAGGCAGATGGTACAAGACGGAATTTGAGACCATGGGTCCTGCTATGGCACAGGCAGATGGTACAAGATGGAATTTGAGAGTACGGGTCCTGCTATGGCACAGGCAGATGGTACGAGACGGAATTTGAGACCATGGGTCCTGCTATGGCACAGGCAGATGGTACAAGACGGAATTTGAGAGTACGGGTCCTGCTATGGCACAGGCAGATGGTACGAGACGGAATTTGAGACCATGGGTCCTGCTATGGCACAGGCAGATGGTACAAGATGGAATTTGAGAGTACGGGTCCTGCTATGGCACAGGCAGATGGTACGAGATGGAATTTGAGACCATGGGTCCTGCTATGGCACAGGCAGATGGTAAGAGATGGAATTTGTGACCATGGATCCTGCAATGACACAGGCAGATGGTAAGAGATGGAATTTGTGACCATGGGTCCTGCTATGGCACAGGCAGATGGTACGAGACGGAATTTGAGAGCATGGATCCTGCAATGACACAGGCAGATGGTAAGAGATGGAATTTGTGACCATGGGTCCTGCTATGGCACAGGCAGATGGTAAGAGATGGAATTTGTGACCATGGGTCCTGCTATGGCACAGGCAGATGCTACGAGACGGAATTTGAGAGCATGGATCCTGCAATGACACAGGCAGATGGTAAGAGATGGAATTTGTGACCATGGGTCCTGCTATGGCACAGGCAGATGGTAAGAAACAGAATTTGAGACCATGGGTCCTGCTATGGCACAGGCAGATGCTACGAGACGGAATTTGAGAGCATGGATCCTGCAATGACACAGGCAGATGGTAAGAGATGGAATTTGAGACCATGGGTCGTGCTATGGCACAGGCAGATGGTACGAGACGGAATTTGAGAGTACGGGTCCCGCTATGGCACAGGCAGATGGTACGAGACGGAATTTGAGGGCTCGGGTCCCGCTATCGCACAGGCAGATGGTACGGGATGGAATTTGAGAGTACGGGTCCCGCTATGGCACAGGTAGATGGTACGAGACGGAATTTGAGGGCTCAGGTCCCGCTATCGCACAGGCAGATGGTACGAGACGGGATTTGAGACCACGGGTCCTGCTATGGCACAGGCAGATGGTACGAGATGGAATTTGAGAGCATGAGTCCTGCTATGGCACAGGCAGATGTTAAGAGCCTGAATTTGAGATCCTGGGTCCTGCTATGGCACAGGCAGATGGTACAAGACGGAATTTGAGAGGATGCGTCCTGCTATGGCACAGGCAGATGGTACGAGATGGAATTTGAGAGCATGCGTCCTGCTATGGCACAGGCAGAATCAGCTTCAGGGTGTGACAGCCGCTCTGCTGTCGCCATCTTGAAATTCTTAACAGTCTGGCCTTTGAACCTGTGTTTTTTAAGTGAAGTGTGCTGGGACAATGGAGCACATCTGTGATCAGACACACACACTATACGTGTCCAGTGTTCCTCAACACCCCACTGGCAGGAGCATTCTTGATGTCCCGTGAGCACAGAATTCTGGTGGACTCCCAGTGCCTGGCAGCTAGTAAGTCAAGTGAGAACTGAGAACCAACCGTTGTTTTTAGCAACACAGAGACCACTGCTGACGCTGACAGAAGCAATTGTAATGGACACGTAGGGAGTGCAGTCCTGTTTGGAGCACATTCGCCTGAGAACGGAGAAGAGTAGCTGGAGGGGGAAATGGCAAAGACCAGGCTGGCATAACCAGTAGCGGTGTGCTCTTCCATAGGGCAGGGACTGCTGGATGGATACTGAAGCGCATTCTTCCCGAAAACTAGATGTCATTTTCCAGTGTGCGTGTGGTCAGGGGTGGCCACGAAACCAGCCTCTTTCCATGGCACTGTCACTTGCTTCCCAGCCTGGCCCTCAAAGCCTCTCGGTAGCTCCTCCAAGCACCTGCCCTTCTCAGTGGCTAGAAGCACAGTGGCTAGAAGCAGCTACAGATGAGCCTCAGGGAATAGAAGCAGCTCAAGATGGCAGGAGCTTGGATCCCTGAGCAACCACATCAAGGGCAGCGCCCTGCTGACCTTATCATCTTCCCAGGACTGTTATGAGAGCAAGAGAAACGTCTATTGTATTAAGCCACCACAATTTTGGTGTGTTTGTTACTGTGGCCTAGTCAGCCATACACCACATACCACACACAGCACAGAGGCATTGAGGGGAGTAAGAAGGCTTCCTCAAGGAGAATGTAGAAATATATACATCTCAAACAAGCCATGCTCACCATGTGGGGTGTCTGCCTACCTGGTAAGCCAGCCCCTCTCTTCTGAGACCCAATCCCAGTTGACTGGACCAGAGGTGGGCATCCGAGTCAGCCTGGGCCAACCAGGTTGCTTCTCCTAGGAATTTATAATTGAGACTCAGCTCTTCCAGTTGGCTTGGAATGAGATTCTATGGACTTGGAGCAGAGAATCTGACTGAACAGTCTGGGGAGAAACAGAAAGGGAAGGAGAGGAGAAAATAGAGTAAAGATATAGGGAGAAGCTGGGTGATGGGCAGGAAAAGCTGATGTCTGGCTTGTTGGCAGCTTTTCAGTTCTTGGGGCTAGTTTTTCAAGGGACCGGGGATGAAGTTCTGCCCTTGGATTCCCTAAGAGATCTCATTACCTTGCCAGCACTTTATTTATTTATTTATTTATTTTTTAACTTTGCTGAACCCATTCTGAAGTGTTTTTTTTCCCTTTTTTAAAAAAAATATCAGCCAGGCACGGTGGCTCACGCCTGTAACCCCAGCACTTTGGGAGGCCAAGGTGGGCAGATCACGAGGTCAGGAGATTGACACCATCCTGGCTAACATGGTGAAACCCCATCTCTACTAAAAATACAAAATATTAGCCGGGCGTGGTGGTGGGAGCCTGTGGTCCCAGCTACTCAGGAGGCTGAGGCAGGAGAATGGCGTAAACCCAGGGGGCGGAGCTTGCAGTGAGCGAGATCGCACCACTGCACTCCAGCCTGAGTGACAGAGCGAGACTCCGTCTAAAAAAAAATAAAAAAATAAAAAATATCAGGTGAAGGCACTCACCAACATTATGAAATGTTTTTGTCTACGGAGGCAGGTGGATCATTTGAGGTCAGGAGTTCAAGACCAGCCTGGCCAACATGGTGAAACCCCGTCTCTATTAAACATACAAAAAACAAATTAGCTGGGTGTGGTGGCATGCATCTGTAGTCCCAGATACTCAGGAGGCTGAGGCAGGAAAACTGCTTAAACCCGGGAGGCGAAGGTTGCAGTGAGCCGAGATTGCGCCACTGCACTCCAGCCTGCATGACAGAGAGAGACTCCATGTCAAAAAAAAAAAAAACCCCAAAAAACAGCAATTTAACTTTTAGGACTTTGTCCTAAGTAAACAGTAAACAGCTGGTCACGTGGATAAAGAGGTTTTTGTGAAAAGCTTCACGGTAGAGTTGTGCATAACAGTCAAAAGGGAAATCAACCTAAATGCCCAACAAGGTTGGGCCAGTTCCTTACTCACTCCACAAACACCGAGCACTGTGCTAGGTGCTGCGGATACACCAGCAAATAAAAAGCCTCTGTTCTCACGGAACTTACAGCCTTAGATGGACAATCCGTGCATAAACACATGACTATGTAACTTCCATAGGATACTGAGAAGAGGGAGGGGAACTCCACAGTGAGCACAAAGGCCTGAAGAGGGAGCAAATTTGGGTTTAAGGTCAGAAAGAAAGCACATGGCTGTAGAAGGAGAGGAAAGATGAGAGGTGAAGGGAGAGGTGGCACTGGGGCTGGAGCAGGAAAAGAGCAAGTTCAGTAAGGCAAAGGATGCAGGACAGTTTGGGGTCCTAGAGTTCAGGAGGGGCAATACGGATGGACTGAAAAGACGTACTGAATGCCAGCTGCAAACAGCTGGATGAGAGCATTTACAGCCTGCCCCTGCCTGCCTCCACTTCCTGAGCCCACTATCCCACACCTCCACCTCCACCAACGGCCTCTGCCCTTCCCCGGCTGCCCTGATTCCTCTGTCATCTTCTCACAGTCCCCAGTGCTTTCCTTTCCTTGTGCTCAGCCGAGTTTTAAATTATGCAGATGCATGTGTGCATTAGTTTCTCTTCCCCTTCCACACAAGTGCATCTGTGAGGGCAAGAATGACAATGGGCTTACTTTCCACTGTTCCCCTTGTGCTTGGCACACAGAAAGTACTCAAGAAATACTTGCTGAATGAAGAATCAAATGGCAGTACCTTTCCAGATTCTGCTCCATCCATTTCACTTCCTGAAGGAACAGGAAGCTCGGAAGCAGGAGCTCCGTGTCTGGGGAACTCTGTTTGAGAGAGGATGATCCCAGCTGTGGCATGCTGGGACTCCCTGGAAGGGCTCGCTGCAGGCCTGCGCCCCACTTGCTTTCTGTTTTGTAGGACTCACCTGCAAAAAGGACTGCTTCTCTCCACAAGCTTTGCATGTCCACTTGACACTCTTTTTTACCTGCAATGAAATTTCAGAAATACAACTCAGATAATTATTTAAAACAAAATGGAATTGGGCTGGACTCGGTGGCTCATGCCTGTAATCCCCCTTTGGGAGGCCGAGGCGGGCAGATCACAAGGTCAGGAGTTCGAGACCAGCCTGACCAATATGGTGAAACCCAGTCTCTACTAAAAATACAAAAATTAGCCAGGCATGGTGGCGGGCACCTGTAATCCCAGCTACTCAGGAGGCTGAGACAGGAGAATCGCTTAAACCTGGGAGGTGGAGGTTGCAGTGAGCCAAGATTGCACCACTGCACTCCAGCCTACACGACAGGGTGAGACTCCATCTCAAAAAAACAAACAAACAAACAAAAAACAAATGGAATTGGATCTGAAATTTTTTTTTTTTAAATCCCAAGTAGCTGGGATTACAGGTGTGTACCACCACGCCCAGCTAATTTTTGTATTTTAGTAGAGATGGGGTTTCACCATGTTGACCAGGCTGTTCTCAAACTCCTGACCTCAAGTGATCCACCTGCCTTGGCCTCCCACAGTGCTGGGATTACAGGTGTGAGCCACCATGCCTGGCCTGAAATAATTTTTTTTTTTTTTTTTTTGAGACAGAGTCTGGCTCTGCTGCCCAGGCTGGAGTGCAGCGGCGCAATCTCGGCTCACTGCAAGCTCCCCCTCCCGGGTTCACGCCATTCTCCTGTGTCAGCCTCCCGAGTAGCTGGGACTACAGGTGCCCGCCACCACGCCTGGCTAATTTTTTGTATTTTTAGTAGAGACGGGGTTTCACCGTGTTGGCCAGGATGGTCTCGATCTCCTGACCTGGTGATCCACCCGCCTCGGCCTCCCAAAGTGCTGGGATTACAGGCGTGAGCCACCAGGGCTGGATCTGGCCTGAAATAATTTTAAAAACTGATGGAAGGAGTCCAGAAACAAACCAAAGCATGTGTAAACATTTAGCGTATCATAATCATAAAGGTGGTACTTTAAAAGTGAGAAAAGAACAGACTATTTAACAAGTCCGGGTTGGTGCTGGGAAAACTGGCTATCTGTATGAAACACAATCAAATTGGGCTGGGCACAGTGGCTTGAGCCTGTAGTCTCAGCGACGAGGGAGGCCAAGACTACTCGAGCCCAGGAGTTTGAGGCCAGCCCGGGTAGCATGGCAAGAGGCTGTCTCACAAAACCAAATCCAAACAAAACAAAACCACTCTGAAAGACCCAAATTGAAGCTGTAAAAAAAAATTCCATAATATTCCTGTCTCGCAAAACCAAATCCAAACAAAACAAAAACACTCCGTAAGACTCAAATTGAAGCTGTAAAAAAAATTCCATAATATTTAAATTCTTGTTAAACTTGGGTCTAAAAAAAATTCCGTAACATTTATTTTCAATTCTTGTTAAACCTGACTAGATGTGTTCTCTCTTAACATATAAAATGCCTAAAACCCACTCTAATGCTGGAGAATCTTTACCAGCATTCCACATGGAAGTCAAGAACAAGCCAGGGTTGCCCGCTATTATTTACCATTTTTTTCTGGATGTACTAGCCAATGGAATTAGAAGAAAGTTGTAAGATGTATAAAAATTATAAAGGAGCGGAAAACCCTATCATTATTTATAGACATAATTATAATACCTGAAATAACTCCTGACCTCAAATGATCTGCAGACCTCGGCCTCCCAAAGAAAAGCCAATTTTTTAATTTTAATTTTAATTTTAATTTTTTTGAGACGGAGTTTCGCTCTTATTGCCCAGGCTGGAGTGCAATGGTGAGATCTCGGCTTAGTGCAACCTCCACCTCCCAGGTTCAAGAGATTCTCCTGCCTCAGTCTCCCAAGTAGCTGGGATTACAGGCACGTGCCACCACGCCCGGCTAACTTTGTGGTTTTAGCAGAGACAGGGTTTCATCATGTTGGTCAGGCTGGTCTCGAACTCCTGACCTCAAGTGACCCACCCAAAGTGCTGGGATTAAAGGCATGAACCACCAGCCCGGCTGCTACCTGACATAATTTTTTATCCGAAAACCAACATAATGAAATGAGAAGCCACTAAAACCAGATAGTCTAATACAGTGGTTAGGTACAAAATTAAGATACCTTCAAAAATTAATATAGCTTTTATATGAGCAGACATCTAATTAGAACACATAATTGATAAAGAGTCCATTTATAACAGCAACAAATAAAATGTTACCAAGGGATACCAAGGTTACTTGAAGAAACGTAATGGATCATGTTTAACACCACAAAGATGTCTAGGTTGATCCATTAACATTAATACGATTAATATGATCCTAATACAAAATCATGAGGTTTTCGGGGGAAGTATCCAAAAGGATTCTAAGGAGGACAATGAGCACCTACCAAAAATTGAACTGGGTAATGACTTAGCAATTTTACTTCTCAGCTTCTACCTTAAAACACCAATAAAACTGTGGATTTTCTATGAGTATATAAACAAGTAAGAAAAGTTGTTTTTTTTTTTTTTTTTTTGAGACAGAGTCTGGCTCTGTTGCCCAGGCTGGAGCACTGTGGCGTGATCTCGGCTCACTGCAACCTCTGCCTCCTGGATTCAAGTGATTCTCCTGCCTCAGCCTCCCAAGTAGCTGCGATTACAGGTGCCCGCCACCACGACCTGTATTTTTTGTATTTTTAGTAGAGACGGGGTTTCACAACATTGCCCAGGCTGGTCTCGAACTCCTGACCTCATGATCTGCCCCCCTCGGCCTCCCAAAGTGCTGGGATTACAGGTGTGAGCCACCGCACCCGGCCAAGAAAAGCCTTTTTAAAAGTTTAGGACTCACAGAACCTGGTAAAGGAATTAATTGTGGGAACTGCTGAGATAGTATGGTTCTGCCACTCCCTAGATGGAGAAACCACTTGATTCCCGTGTATTTCGGAATTCTCATGTCTCTAAGATGGGAATGATGCCTAAGTCAAAGGTTGTTGAAGTTAAACGTGTTAAAGTAGTACACAGCCGACTTGCAATTAAAATTAAAGTAGTACATAGCCGACTTGCCGTCCTCTTTGGTTTCAAGTAATTTTTCTTTGTTTTTGAGACAGGGTCTGGCTGTCGCCCAGGCTGGAGTGCAGTGGTGTGAACACGGCTCACTGCAACCTCTACCTCCTGGACTGAAGCGATTCTCCTGCCTCAGCGACCCTGAGTAGCTAGGACTACAGATGCGCGCCACTACATCTAGCTATTTTATTTTGAATTTTAGTAGAGACAAGGTCTCGCTACGTTGCCCAGGCTGCTCTGGAACTTCTGAGCTCAAGTGATCTGCCCTAGTGGGCTTCCCAAAGTGCTGAGATTATGGGCGTGAGCCACCGGGGCCAAGCAACTCACATTTCATAAGGTTGAAAATGACCACGAGGGTCAGGGGCGCTGGCTCACACCCGTAGTCCCGGCACTTTGGGAGCTAAGGCGGGAAGAACACTTGAGCCCAGGAGTTCCAGACCAGCCTGGGCAACACGGCCGAAACCTCATTCCTACAAAAAATATAAAAATTAGCTGGGGATGGTGGCCCACACCTGTAGTACCAGCTACGTGGGAGGCTGAGGTGGATCAGCTGAGCCCGGGAGATGCAGGTTGCAGCGAGCTGTGATTGTTACCACTGCACTCCAATCTGGGCGACAAAGCGAGACCTTGTCTCAAAATAAATAAGTAAATAAATAAATAAATAACACTGGTGAACATGGAAGAGTGAAACAGGAAAACAAACAAGGAAATAGAGGCCGGGCGCAGTGGCTCACACCCGTAACACCAGCACTGTAATCCCAGCACTTTCGGAGGCCGAGGCGGGCAGATCACGAGGTCAAGAGATGGAGACCTTCCTGGTCAACATGGTGAAACCCCGTCTCTACTAAAAATACAAAAATTAACTGGGCTTGGTGGCGCGCGCCTGTAATCCAAGCTATTCGGGAGGCTGAAGCAGGAGAATCGCTTGAACCCAGGAGGCGGAGGTTGCAGTGAGCCGAGATCACGCTACTGCACTCCAGCCTGGCGACAGAGTGAGACGTGAGACTCTGTCTCAAAAACAAAAAAAGGAAATAAAAATAAACGGAAAATTTGTTTTTAAAAAACAGCATGAAACATTAGACGTGGAATAATTTAAAAATGCAAATGATCTCCCTTTATTTGCAACTCTTAGGACCCAGCTCCCGAAAGAAAATAAGTAAAAAGTTTCTGAGCCCTTAAAATGGCCCTTACAAACGCTTAGCATTAAATGCAAGCTTACAGACACATACTCAGCATCTTGCTGACTTTTTAACATACCTCTTAAACAAGTCTGATCCACGCCGGGCACAATGGCTCTCGCCTGTAATCCCAGCACTTTGGGAGGCCGAGGCAGGCGGGTCACCTGAGGTCAGGAGTTCGAGACCGGCCTGACCAACATGGAGAAACCCTGTCTCTATTAAAAACACAAAATTAGCTGGGCATGGTGGCGCATGCCTGTAATCCAGCTACTCGGGAGGCTGAGGCAGGAGAATTGCTTGAACCTGGGAGGCGGAGGTTGCGGTGAGCCGAGATCGCGCCATTGCACTCCAGCCTGGGCAACAAGAGCGAAACTCCGTCTCAAAAAAAAAAAAAAAAGAAGAAGAAGTCTGATGCTATTCTTTCTCAGGGCATAGCAGATTACCAATAATTAGGAGGGAGGGACTATCAGAAGCAGATACGGTGACTGCAGTGTTAAGTGATATCAAGCAGGGAGACAGGTGCGATCCGGAAAAGGTTAAGTGGCATTCTCTATCTGGCACGCTGAAAGTTAGGGAGGCAAATATGTCCTAGAAACACAGATTATCTGTCTTTAAGACTCCGGGGCCCGTGGTTTATGCGTCGGCGAACAGCCATATCAAGTCCCTGGCCCCGCGGAAACGGACGGCGGCAGAGGCGCGGGGCGACGGAGAGGGCGCCCAGGTGTGGAGCAGGGACGCCGCCGCGGCGCGCTCGGTCTCTAAGAACCGTCCTCCCCCTCTCACTGAAACTGCGACAGCGCTACTTCGTGGGGTAGGCTCTGCGTAAAGGATGCTATACTCAACCGGATTCTCCCACTACCTGCTACAATTCACAAGAGGCCACCTCCGCAGAACCATTACCTCTGGTTTGTACAAGAACCAAACAAAAAGCTCAGAACGTTATGCGGGGGCGACCCCAATGAGACCCGCCCTCAGCGGTCCCTGCACTCCTTCGGGCCCGGTGCATCCCGGAGCCATTCGAGACAACACCCACAGCCCCGCCACTCCCCGTCCGCTGTCCCCGCGCCGGAGGAGGAGGAGGGGGCTGGCACCCGCCAGACCTGGTGCGCCTGGAAGAGGCGGCAGCTGCAGCAGCGTAGCACCCGAGAACGCTGAAGCGACGCCATCCCTGCTTGTGCAGTCGCCAGGCAGCCAAGCGCGTGCGCTCTGCATTTGTCCCGCCGCGGCCCCGCCCCACGCACGCGCTCCGAACCCTCTAGTCCCCTACGCCGTCTCGCATGCGCTTATACTCTTCGCTCCGGCCGCCGCGGCCCCGCCCCTGCGCACTGGGATCCCTCTAGCCTGCCGCGCCTCTCGCTGGTCATCTGCGCCCCTCCGACCTCGGAAAGAGTCCTGGGTGCGGGATTCCTGGTAGCCGACTCGTCGTCTGACCAGGGCCGTGCCCGCATCTTCCTAAGGCACTGGTTCCGGCCCTGGGGAGACTGGAATTGAGACGACAGGGCCTCCGCTGACCAGTCCTTGGACACAACGCGGAGCGGGGCTGAGGGGCCGCCCTGCCAGGCCTGCGCTGCCGTGCTTTTAGGTAGCAGCGAACAGTTAGCCTTTGAACCGGAGCCCGGGGTGGAATACGGGGAGACGGAGGGGCTCACCACACCCACGCTTCCCGGAGAGGGCGGCGGAGGCGCGCGGCCGCCGAGCGCGAAGCCGGTCCCCCTGCAGCCCCGGGAGCGTCCCAGGCCCACCCTACGGAGGGTGGAGGCGCCCCCGCAGCCCGACGCTCACGCCGCAACCCTGTGTGGCTTAGGGTTGTAACCTCGTTGGAAAATAAAATACAAAAAATATTAAAATTACCTCCCACCGTACAACCCTCGGTGTCTAGGGTTGTAATTTTAATTTTTTTTCCAACTTTTACACAGTGACTATCACCAAAAAAGCGAGGTGTTTTTTTTTTGTTTTTTGTTTTTGGAGACAGTCTCGCTCAGTCGCCCAGGCTGGAGTGCAGTGGCGTGATTCTCCTGCCTCAGCCTCTCCAGTAGCTGGGATTACGGATGCCCGCCACCACGCCCAGCTAATTTTTGTATTTTTAGTAGAGACGGTGTTTCTCCATGTTGGCCAGGCTGGTCTCGAACTCCTGACCTCAGGTGATCCACCCGCCTCGGCTTCCCAAAGTACTGGGATTACAGACGTGAGCCACTGCACCCGGCCGACACTCGCTTTTAACAGCAGAAACCATCCCGTTGAAGAAAACACCCAATCCTGACAAGGGTGCAGGGAGGGCTACCCCTCTGACAGGGTGCTGGGAGAACGGTCAAGTGCAAAACCGTGGAAAGCAACCTGGCAATACTGCTACCCCAAGAAAGGAATCCCTTCACCTAGGTGATTTATTATTCATTCCCTAGTGTTCCCTGAAGAATACTAGGAAGAAATGGAAATCAGTGTTCTGAAGAACGGCACGGACTCTTAGGCAGTTCCATCAGCAAGAACCTGAGTTTGAAGTGACAACGTGCTGTGGAGAGGCAAGGTTACAGAATTACAGTACATCGTTTGACTTCTGTGACACCGGCATTATTTTCTGGCGTGTGTGTGTGTGTGTGTGGCTAAGGTCGTAGGTAATGCTAATTTTTAAATTTTTCCAACTTTTGTACAGTAAGTAGTTAGAAAAAAAAATTGAGAGACAATATGCCAATAGACAATGGTCAGATAACGAATGACAATAAACTGACTGCAGCCTCTGCAGTAACCGGGCAGTCGGCTGCTTGGGAAGGACGTGGTCAGGACTGCTTGCTCCTCTATTTTTTGTACCACCCTCCCCATGTCAGAACCAACCCAAGAAAGCGCTCCCCAAACCAGTCACAGAAAACATCCTGCTTCTTGTTAGCTCACCTCCAGTTTCCAACAGCCTGCGGTCAGAACCACCTGGAGCCTTCCCCGTTTTCCACCCCCTGCGTCCTTGCGCCTACCCACACCGGGGATGTTGCTGACTCCCTTGCTGTAGCAAGCTCTGAATACTGTTTCTCATTTGGGTGGTTTTCCTTCATTTCTACGTTTGAGCTACTGTGGCTGAGAACAGAAAGCATCTGCAAAAAATGTTTTATGCTTAATGAAAGGAGTAGAATAAAAATTTCATATATGACATCAGTTAAACTCTGAAAAAAAATACAGAATAAACACCAAAATACTGAGTAATCTGTAGCACTAGGAAAAATTGTTCTACTTTTCTGTATATTTTTCTCCTTTTGGCAATGAACCGGTAATCCTTTAAAAATTCATGTATATAGTTTTTTTTCTTGGAAATTATAAGAATGATTTGATGAGTGGTTTGATGCAACTTATATTACTTGGTAAGCAGTTTTAAAATATTCATGTTTACTTATAAAATTTAAATTTTTTATTTGTATTATCTATATATTATTTAATGTTACTGTTCTGGTTGTTAAACATTTTGAGTTATCTTCCCAGGTTGAATGATTTATGGATTAAAGTACTATTGTACATTTTCGTACATTGTATCACGTGAATAGGCCAGATTCCTCTTTCCTATTCTTTGGTTAATTTCTTTGGTGTATTCACAAGCTTATACTTCCATATATTAAAAACATTTATCTTACCTCTGTAAAGACAAAAAATGGGAAATAAAAAGCCATTTATCCAAATTCCAAGTTATTCAAATCTAATTGAATATAATCAGTGTAAGACTTAAAATTGCCAAATATGTGGGGTTATTATATCTTAATTATATTAAGGCCAACAATGGTCTTTTTGGTATAAATCATTTGAAATTATTTTATGGTACTTTGTGTAAATACTAGAAAGGAAATTGAAGCCAGGCATGCTGGTTCATGCCTGTAGTCCCAGCTACTAGGGAGGCTGGGGCAGGAGGATTACTTCAGGCCAAGAGTTTGAGGCTGCCATGAGCTATGGTCATGCCACAGCACTCCAGTCTGTCTCTAAAACAAACAAACAAGCAGACCGGGCATGGTGGCTCACGCCTGTAATCCCAGCATGTTGGGAGGCCGAGGCGGGTGGATCACGAGGTCAGGAGTTTGAGACCAGCCTGGCCAATATGGTGAAACCCCATCTCTAGTAAAAATAGAAAAATTAGCTGGGCGTGGTGGTGCACGCCTGTAGTCCCAGCTGCTTGGGAGGCTGAGGCAGAAGAATTGCTTGAACCCAGGAGGCAGAGGTTGCAGTGAGCTGAGATCACGCCACTGCACTCCATGCTGGGCAACAGAGCAAGACTTGGTCTCAAAAAACAAAAAAACAAAAAAACAAAAAAACAAAGCTACTTAATTAAAACAAAAACAGCAGCCACAGAGATATACAATAGTACCTGAGTTTCACCTTCTGCAGCTTTAGTTACCCAGAGTCAACAGCCACCTGGAAAAGAGATGAGTACAGTACAAGAAGATATTGTGAGACAGACCACATTTACAACTTTCATTACAGTATAACCGTTACATTTTATTATTAGTTATTGTTGTCAATCTCTTAAGGTGCCTAATTCATAAACTTAATCACAGGTATGTATGCATAGGAAAAAACAGTATGTATAAGGTTTGTTATTATCTGTGGTTTTAGACATCCACTGGGGGTCTGGTTTTAGATATCCACTGTATCCCCTGTGGATAAGGGGGTAACTGCTGTATCTTTTAGTAGAAGCAAGAGCAGCCCCATGTGGGGGCTAACACTGGACACTGGTCAGTTTCAGCTCCTCATGCAAAGTGAGGGTATCCTTGTGGCTCCAGCCCTGGGGCCCCCTGCGGTCACCTTTGGCTCCACAGTCTGGTTCTTGAACCCAAGGGCAGACAGCTTGCTACAGCCCAGGCCTGAGGATGCACTTCCTTCACCAGGACCCACAACCCCTGCCCATGAAGACCTGTGGAGCTCAGGGCATCCCCTGATGCAGGTTGGTCAGGACCTGCCCAGCTTGCACCAGCAGGTTCTGCGTCTCCATCTGACCTGGCAGACCTTGCACTCTTCCACCCACTGTGGAGGACTAAGTGTCTTGAACTTCCAGAACACAGCCAGGGCCCCATACTTGGCCTGGGGAGAAGTTGGGAGGCCTAAGCAGTGGTTGGGGGCCACAGCAAGGCATTGCACACAGTGGTTTTTATTTCTTTCAGGGATTTATTAAGGCATTGAGCACAGTGTAATTTCTAGCCAAGTGAAATGAATCCAAGGAAATATATCAGGACCTGAGGGATGTTTTTTTAAAGTTACTGGAAAGGATGATGAGCTGAGAGCACGTGTACAGCCACGCCTGTGCGCAGCGCCCACTCTGTGCAATAAACATGTTCTGCCCATGTTCCTCAGTCAGGAGGTTCAGGCTCCCGGAGAGCACCTGAGGGTTCCATCACTTTGGTGCCCAACAAGCACATGCCCCCCAACCTGGTGCCAAGAGGCAGGAATGACCCCCATACCACATAGCTGCAGGAAAGCATCCACGGATGGAGGGACTCAGCTGGCCTGGCCGCAGTGTGGAGCACAGAGGTATGAGGCAAGCAAGGGCAGATCTGAGAGCCTGTAATGCTAGGCAGGTGCAGCTGGTGCGAGGCGGGCTCCCACCAGGTGTAAGGAAGGTGGGAGCCACAGCCTCTTCCTGGGCCCAGAAGCAGCCGGCGCCAGGAGATGCAGGCCCAGGGAATCTGTCTAAGGCAGCTGGGTCTGCACCAGCCTTCTTTCCACTCACAACTCACTGCTCCTGGGAGAGCAGGAGGGGCACACCTTTAAAGAGAAACTGATAAGGGAGGAAAGGCAGGAGGAGATGAGGCCAGCCCCACTGATGACACCTTGGGCCAGGCCTCACAGCTGCAGGCATCAGCCGGAAACTCCAGGCTGCTCATGGTCACTGGCGGTGCTGAACTGTCTCTCCACTTTCTTTTGGTCCTTGATCTTGAGTCCAATGTCCACTCTCTTCTCAAAGAAGTTCACCAGCACGGACTCCGTCAGGATGGAGGCCAGGATCTGCTCAAAGGAGATGCACCAGTCGGTGTCGACGGTGCCGCCGATGCGCGCTGTGGGGCTGCAGGCCTCCCCGCCCACCAGCACCGTGTCGTCTGCAAGGTCTTCACATTGCAGGGAGCCCGTGCTGACCACCGAGTAGGAGGACATGGACATGTCGTCTTTGGTTTCATCGTCAGACAGCAGCTGGGAGGGTGAGCCCTGTCCCTCGCCGCTGCCCCCCTCCACCACCACCTGGCTCTCCTGTGGGGCTTTTCCGAGGTGTGTGTCTCCGCCTGCTTTGGCTTGGGGGTCTCCTGCAGCTGGGGGCTGAAGCTCCCTGGCTGCGTCCTGATGCAGTTCGGGTGCTGGTGGCTCGTCCTCCTCAGTGGCACAGTCCCTGGGCTTCCTGCCTGTGCGGGCTGAGAACTTCTTCCCCACCTCTCCGATGCGGAGCAGGAGGCTGGCCACGGTGGCGATGGCGTGGTACAGGTCCTGCTCCATGGGGTCTTCACTGAACATGTTGTAAAGCGTCTTGCACAGCTCAATGAACTGCTCCTTTTAGGGAGAAAAACAGAAGAACAGGGAGATGGTAAAAGACCAGTCAGACGGGGTCCATATTAGCCAAACTGATGACAAGCACCAGCCTAAGGATGTTGGCTGCCGTCTTGCTAATCATCTCCATGAGCCTCATCAGTCCCATCTCACAGATCAGGACACAGGCTCAGAGAGGCCACACAGCTCTTCAAAAGGCTTTCCCCTCCAGCTGCCTTTCTCTTGGCACTCAGAGCATGCTGGTCTGACCTGGGGCCTCCCTGTTTCTAGGTCCGTTCTGTTGGCACAGGGAGATGGATTTCTACCACGACTCTAAATCCAGTCAGTACAAGGACTTCGTTGTGTTTTAGAATCACCTTTGGTTTTAATCAGAAGCAGCCTCAACTCAGCCCTTGAATGAAGCTCTTTAGAAGGTGATGGTGAGGAAAATACAGCCTGGGTCAGCTGGGGAGGGGGATCCTGGGGAGGGGGGTGCTGGGGAGGGTGGGTGCTAGGTCCTGAAGCCACACGTCTAGGCCTCCTGGCCCAAGAATGGGAAGAATCCTCATCGCACGTGGTGCCCACCCTCCAGGCCTGCTGGGGGAGTGGTCAGATTGCAGGGTCCCCTACTGGGCACAGCTAGACCGTGGGTCTGGCCCGAGGGCCATGGTCAGGCTGGTGCTCCAGACTTGCCTTTGGCTCAACGCTTGCAGTTTGGAGCTGGGGTCTCCCATTTTCTGGCTTTGAG
This sequence comes from Homo sapiens, assembly GCF_000001405.40. Classification (NCBI taxonomy): domain Eukaryota; kingdom Metazoa; phylum Chordata; class Mammalia; order Primates; family Hominidae; genus Homo; species Homo sapiens. Next base: position 179,864,853 of record NC_000005.10, read on the forward strand.
ACCCTTGGCAAGACACCATGCTTCTGATCTGCGAGACCAGTGAATGAAGAGCGGGTGTGGAGGATGCATGTGAGCCTGCGTGTGCAGAGCCCTGGGCAGGGCTGGGAGGGTGCAGGGTGTGGAACGCATATCTTGTCAAAGGTAGCCTACAAGCCTCTGGCTCCTGGTTCACAGACACTCACTCAATCTGGAAACATGCCCCTATACAAGGCCCTGGAGCAACTGGCCTCTTGTCTTTCTGGAATCATCGCTGACTGGCAACCAGGACTAACGGGCTCTAGAGGCAGGGAGGAGCCTTCCCACCCACCAGGAGATGCTGCAGTGCAGGTGCGGTGATGTTAGGGCCCAGTCTTGGTCAGAACTCTCCAGAAATGTCTACTGTGGGCTCCAGTGGAGCCTACCTGGTTCATCTTGGGAAGATCCTTAATCGTCTCCTTCTGAGCCTCTTTCTCCTTGGCCCACATTCGAAGGTAGTGCCGATAGTCCGGAGAGCTGGTCCCCTTCTCCTCTGCAGGTTAGGAGGAAAGAGATTAATCTTTGTCATGTGAGACGGCTGCGGGCTGACAGCAGGGAGAGGAAGAGTTGGGTGTTTTCTGGCATGGAGTTACCAGGGCCCTATCATAAAACACCCTGGCGTTTGGGAAGGTGGTCATGGGAAAAAAACCCAGAACAGCCACAGGTTTTCCCTAAATTGCTGCAGTGGTTGGACCTAAGCTGATGACAATGATCCACAATGTCTTCTCTCAGATGGGGAGTCACAGGGCAGCTGGAGAGAAGCTGGCAAGAGAGGGCTGGCTGGGTGCCCGTGGGGCTGGTGGAGAGCGTGGAGCCTCCTGTGCATCCCGAGGCCTGCTCCCTGATCGGGGGACGCATCCGCCATCTCCCGGGGTAGGGGGCTCCCTGGCAGTGACTGGGGAAAAGACCAGCAAGCAAGGGTGCCTCAACGCTGGGGTCTCTAAGAACAGCGGCAGAGAATGGCCTGTACCTCCTCTCTCCTCACTTCCACTTCCTTCTTGCTCTTCCTGTGGTAGTGCTTCTGGACAAACGCAAAAATAAAAAGAACATGAATAACATTCTGCTGTTGGGACTGCAAGCTCCTGGGGTCCTTGAGATGTAGTCTGTGTTTCTGTACAGCCAGCCCCAGGCCAGGCCCTGGGGAGCAGGTCTCCCATGCCACACCTCCTGCCTGGCCCGCCCAGCCCCGCCCTATGGCACCAGAGCAAAAGGGCCTGAGCATTCCCTCACTTGGTCAGGTTAAAATAAAGGCCGCCAAACCCTCAATTCCTTTTTTCAAATGAATACAAGTCTCAACATGCTGGTTTTGACGTGAACAATGATGAGGGCTATAGACCAGTCTGAGGACTAACGAATTCTATAGTTCCTGCTAGAACTCTGGGGAATGTTCCTGCTAGAACTCAGGGGAACCCTAATGACCCCTTCCACCCGCGCCTGCTGTGCCTGTTACTGAGGGGTGGTCTGTGCACAGCTCCTGTGCTTGGTGCAGCGTTTCGGGGAGGACATTTGCCGGAACTGGCGCGCACTATACTCCCTGCGTGGGAACATGCACCTGGGGAGAGAAGCAGCCGACCAGCTCTCCTGGAGCTGTTCCCCAAAGGCAGTGTGGCTGGTGGGGGCACCTCAGGCAGGTCGGCAGCACCCCAGTTCTGAGCTGCTCTCGCTGGCTGTCTGGTGGCAGTGAAGGGCACACCTCTCTGGGCTCAGGCAACTCACCCTGGAATGGAGGCCCTGCTTCCTGGGGGCCACATGCGGTCTGAGGCCAGGGCTCTGCACCAACATGCCGCTCCCAGAAGCATGCGGGACAAGCCTAGAGTGGCCTGCTGGTTCCATGTACAACAGAAGGTGTACCTGCTTCTGTAGTTTCTGTCCTTGAAATCAAGGTCCTCAAGCTCAAGTCAGCCTCTGCCACTGTCACCAGGACTGCCATGGGCATCTTGGTACACACTATTTTTGGTTCTCTTTTGAGTCGGTTCCTTGGTGTGCATTATCCCCCATGTGAAACCACCAGGTGGCATTATGGTCGGTTTTGCAAGTGTGCTGCATGTCACCAGCTCGACTGCGAAAGCCCAGGGCCTAGCATGCTCCCATCACCTGGGATCAGATGCTCCCAACAGGCTTTAAACATAGCACAGGGATGAGTTCTAACAGGCACTCAACATGCGTGTTTTTCCTTAACAAAAAACGTGACGTGGAACATGAAGATTTTTCCTAGGAAAGCATCCACTATTCTTTCCAGCCCCCACTCAGCCACACTGTGTCTTTCACACGCTCCAATGACAGCATTTTGTATTTGTTTCCTACTCACAGGAAGACAGAATGTCTCTAACATGTGGCTGTGGAGGCCTTGCCCTGGGCCTGCTTGGCGCCTAGTGTGGGGGCCTTATTTACCGCCCACCTACAGCAGACACGGAGGCGGTGCAGAGGAGTGGCTTGCTTCTGGGTCCTTCTCAGAACTTATGCCCCAGAGGATGAAGTCCCAGAGAGGTCCCTGGGACAAAGAGCTTCCAGGCTTCCTGATAGTGCAGGAAGAGTGTTAGGAGGTACAGGGGGCGCCCCTGCCTTCCAGGGACTGACCTTGAGCCTCCCAGGGCAGGAAAAGATCCAGATCTGAGGCCAGAGGAGATGCTGGAAGGGACAGCAGAGGAGAGGCAGAGGGGCAGAGTGGGGAGGAGCCAAGGTCCAGGAAGACAGAGACACAAGAGAAACAGGAGTGAGGACATCCACAGGGGGCGGCCCCAGCCCCCGCCAGCATGGCAGAGCCCAGCCCGTGGTCCCCTGGGGAGAACCCCATGCGGCCTGCTCCCTGAGCCCAGGTGGGACTGCTGGCCACTGCCCGAGCCCCACAGGAAGGCGGCGGTGGCTGCAGAGTGCTGGCTGGGCATGTCGGGTGTTCCAGTGGCCGCTCACCTTCTGAGGAGCTGTCCTCTGTGAAATAATGGGCCGCCTCCAGGGCTGACTCGGCTTCCTCTGGGCTCAGAGCTGTGCTTGGAGAGAAGGCAGAGTGAGGGCAGGAGGAAACAAGGAGATCCTCTCAGAGTAAGTTCCCTCCAGCCCTGGGCAGAGCCTTGCTTTCCCTGCCCACGAGCCTGGCCAGTCCCAGCACCTGCCCATGACAGTGCCCGGTAATAGTTTTGATGGTGATGATTGGTTCTGGTTATTTGTTACTTTCCTCAGCTTTTTTTTTTTTAATGGACTCTCACTTTATCACCCATGCTGCAGTGCAGTCACATGATCTCAGCTCACTGCAAGCTCCGCCTACTGGGCTACAGTGATTCTCCCACCTCAGCCTCCCAAAGTGCTGGGATTACAGGCGTGAGCCACCGCACCCAGCCTGGAGTTTTGCTCTTGTTGCCCAGGCTGGAGTTCAATGGCACGATCTCGGCTCACTGCAACCTCCACCTACCGGGTTCAGGTGATTCTCCCGCCTCAGCCTCCCAAGTAGCTGGGACTACAAGCACACACCACCACGCCCAGCTAATTTTTGTATTTTTAGTAGAGACAGGTTTCATCGTGTTGGCCAGGCTGGTCTCCAACTCCTGACTTCAAGTGATCCACCCGCCTGGGCCTCCTACTGCATCCAGCCGCTTTCCTGACTTTGACATTGTGTTTGAAAAGGAAATACATGTCCCAGGTAAAAATCCAATCAACACAATTAGGAGTCCAGTGAATGGCAGCTGCCCGCCTGCCCCAGTGACCATCTGGCCAGTGGGCCCTTTGGGGGCGTTTCATGCTCCTATGGGCGCACAGGAACCAGCCACGCACAGGCAACTTGCTGCTCTCCCTTTGGGTAGCTCAGAGGTCGGGCCGCGTTGTGCGTGCTGGCCGGCCTCATTCAGTGCAGTCTTTGCTGGAGGTCACCAAGCAGTACCCAGGGTTGCGGATCGCATGGTCCTGGGTGAGTGTAGCGGGCATGGGCCACAAGCCCAGCAGAGCCCAAGTGTTCTCTGTGTCTGGACAGGACAGGGCAGGGCAGGCTGAGGAGGCTCAGGAGTCTCAGGGTAGCCCCGCATGCTCTCAACCCTGGGACCAGGCCCAGTGGGGTCTGTCCTACCACGGCCTCTCTGGTGAGCCAGCCACAAACGAGAACAGCTATGTCAAGAGCCTTCAGCTCTGGAGGCACAGAGCAATGGCCTGCCAGCTTTAAAAACCACAGGTCTGGGCCCCATCACAGGCAATCAAGTGAGAATCTCCTCGGGTGAAGCTCAGCCCCAGTATTCTAAACATCCCCGGGGTCGGTTCTGAGGGCAGCTGCTAACCTCAGATGGCAAAGCGACAGCAGGGACCTGGGGCAGGTCCAGCCACAGCAGAGTGCCCAGCCCAGGATTTCCACCTGCCTGCGCCTTTGTTTCCTTCTGTGATGAGGGAGATGACCCCTCCTTGGAGCATTGTCCATGCAGCCACTCCTGCTGAGCCCTGCCCCCTGCACAGACAGCCTGTCGCCAGTGCAGCCCCACTAGGCTACAGCACCACTGAGAGGCCAGAGAGAAGTGGCCCCTCCTCATGGCCATGTGACAGGATTCTCTAGCTGAAACTCTGGGAATAAACCCTTAAGAAACTTGACAGATAAATGCAGCAGTTTCGGTTCCAGCCCTGAAGCTCCACTCATGGCCCTCCTAGTGGGTTTTGGGTCCAGCTGCCTCCTCGGTGGGAGTTCTGTACCCAGCAGTGCCCGGTCACCCATGGGATTCTCCTCCACGTCCCTTCCCAGGCCAAGGCCCTGCTCTCAGACCTCTGTGAAGTGCTCAAGCTCCCGCTCCCTCTCCTCCAATGTGAACCTCCAGCCTGCGACGCTGCTGTGCCCCCTCGAGGCCCCACAGTCTCACAGAGGCCTGTCCTCTGCAGCTGAACTTCTGGACAAGTGGGAGACCCTGGCTGGGGAGTGGGCAGGAGGCTCTCACCTGGGGGAAGGTGTAGCTTGTAGAGCACCTTGAGCTTCTCTGTCAGGTCCCCGTGGTACATCCCGCCTGTGGAGAAGGCCAGGGAGGGCTGGGTCTGGCAACATGGCTGCAGAGCCCCTTCCAGGGGGTCCGAGTAGGACCCTCTTCACAGCCTGTGCTGCCCAACTCCCTCCTGGAGAGGTCACAGGGTGAGTCCCAGATCTCCTGTCTCCCTGGCGTCCTGCTGGGAAGGCTCAGCCCTTCCCTGGGGCTGGCAGACCAGCTTCTAGCAGCCCCAGACTGCATGAGGGAGGGGAGCGGGCAAGGCTCCTGCTGGACCCCATCTCGGCTCCCGTGGGTAAACTGTTCTTCCCGTATCTAGGGCCAGGGGCTCAAGCTGCCCCCTACTTGCTGCAGGGGGAACAGACAGGAGATGCTGGCATTTGGAGGCTTCCTGGGAAAGGGTGAGGGAGGGTCAAGCCCCTGGTAGGCCCTGCAGGCACTCACTCATCCCTGTCACGAACTCCTTGAAGTTGATCAGCGAGTCCTTGTTTTCGTCCAGGAGCCTGAACATGCGCCCTGCCAGCAGAGGTGTGTGGGAGCCACAGGCCCAGGGTGTCAGGCTGGCAAAGAGTTCCCGGAACTGGCTGGCATCAATCCGGTACTGCTCCAGGTAGGGCAGGCTGGGGTCCCGACGGCCGGCCATTGTGCGGCTGCACCCCCAGTACTGGCTAGCCAGGTGCTTGGCCTGTGGGACACGGTCTGGTGAGACGGTCCAGCCGCTAAGCCTGTGGGTCGAGGGGACCCCTAGGCTGGTGGTGTGTCCACCCTCCCCCTCTGTCCAAGCCTGCGGAGCCCTGGGGCGGTAAGCACGGGCCAGACACTGCAGCACCTCCCGAAAGCTCTCAGGCTGTCATCAGCCCCTTGTTAACAGATGGGGAGGGGGTTGGCTGAGAGACAGAGTCCTTGGCAGCCTGCAGGGGGCAGAGCTGGTCTGCTGGCCCCAGAGAAGGGCTGAGCCTTCCTGGCAGGGCTCCAGGGAAACAAGAGGCCTGAGGCTTGCTCTCGCTCCTATGACCTCTCTAGGAGGCAGGCAGAGCTGGCTCAACTGTTGTGACGCTAGGGCCACAGCGCAGCAGCCACCTTGAGCACGGAACCTGAGGCAGCTGGAGAGGTGGACGGGAACTGGCAACAACAACAGAAAGGCAGATTCCAACCATTAAGGCTGGGTCTTTTGCTAAAAGCACAAGGGAAAGAAAAATTCTCTTTGCACTGGGATTACTGAGAAGAGAGTATGACCCTGGAGCTGTGACGACAGTCCTGGCATGGTGTAGGAAGAGCAGTGCAGAGGACATCAGAGATGGGGAAGCCTGACGGCACATTTCAGCACCTGGATCCAGCCATGCCTGAAGCTGTGCATTGCTAGACTTTTCAGTCTAGCAATACAGGGGCAATGTATTCCCTCTTCTGTGTAAGATGACTTGAATGGATTTGCTGCCATTTAAGAGGTCCTGCCTAAACTCCAAGAGGGATTCGATTCTACCACAGGAGGTTCATGGCAACTGCATCTGAGGATGCACTTAGATCTGTTTCTGTTTTTCTATTCTATTCCCTATTTCTATCTACTTCTAAGAGGATACTCTTAGATCCATTTCTTTTCTGGCAGGAAGCTAGGAAGCTAGGAACGGGTCCTGCCCTGGCTCTGAGCTGTCACCTTAAACACCATGTAAAGGTCCTCCAGCTCTTCAATGGAGAAACCAATGTCCACAGGTATAGCTCGGACCTAGAAGGAAGGAGAAACAGGGTATATAGCTGGATCACAAGCTCCTGGCACAGAAGTACGGCACTCTGTGAGAGCATCCTCGGCAGACAAGGGCAAGGGTGTGAACCGCCCTCTCAGTGGCCCAGCACTCAAGGGCGGACCCTTCGGGAGAGAGCGAGGCCCACAGCCCATCCCTGGCCCCCCACCTACCACTCAGCTCACACTCCGGGCTCCTTTCCAGGATGGGCGTGGGGGAGTCTCTCTCTCACACTCCGGGCCCCTTCCCAGGATGGGCGTGGGGGAGCCTCTCTCTCACACTCCGGGCCCCTTCCCAGGATGGGCTTGGGGGAGCCTCTCTCTCACACTCCGGGCCCCTTCCCAGGATGGGCGTGGGGGAGTCTCTCTCTCACACTCCGGGCCCCTTCCCAGGATGGGCGTGGGGGAGCCTCTCTCTCACACTCCGGGCCCCTTCCCAGGATGGGCGTGGGGGAGCCTCTCTCTCACACTCCGGGCCCCTTCCCAGGATGGGCGTGGGGGAGCCTCTCTCTCACACTCCGGGCCCCTTCCCAGGATGGGCGTGGGGGAGCCTCTCTCTCACACTCCGGGCCCCTTCCCAGGATGGGCGTGGGGGAGCCTCTCTCTCACACTCCGGGCCCCTTCCCAGGATGGGCGTGGGGGAGCCTCTGTCCTCAACGTGCAGCTGAGGTCGCAGAGTGAGGGATACTCATTTGGCTCCCGTCATCTGGATCCCTGCAGAGACCCTGGTGCCAGCTCTGTGGAAGGAGGCCGAGAACCTGCCAGCCAATGCTCCTGTACTTTAATTGGCCAAAGCAGTCAGTCTGTGGTGCTGCGACCCAATGTCCTTACAGTGTCCTACAAGCCTGCAGGAGGGCTGGGAATGTGGAAACAATGGAGGAAGTCCCTGCCTTTGGGGGCAGAGACCACAAACAGGTCTTGCAGCACAGGGTGGCAGGGAGGGCCTGGCCCCTCTAGAGATGAGAACAGCAGCTTGTGGCAGACACATGCCATTTGGGGTGTGCGGAGGATGGCGGCATGTTGCTACCTGGGAGTGGGGCAGGGAACACATGGGAAGCCAGGCTGGGCGGGCTCGGCCCAGAGGGCTGGGCATGTGGCTTTCAGGGTGGGAGCCATCTGAGAAGCTTCCCGGTGACACATCCACCAGCAGAGAAAAGTGACTGGAACCTCTCCCCACATTCCCACCTACACCCCTGGATCCCGGTCCCATGAATCCTACCATGATGTACATACCAAAGCAGTGTAGGAGACTGGGTGCGGTGGAGCCCTGTACCCACCCTGCTCTGTGGGGAAGGCACTGCTGCCCCCCCAGCCCAGCCCCTGCCCAGCCCTGCTGGCACCCATACCACACTCCTCTTGGCCGTGTCCTCCAAGGACTGGATCACTTTCAGCCTCTGTTTAAACCGCATCTGCTCAATGTCTTCGGCCCTCAGGCTGCTGAATTTCTATAGGGAGAGGTGACTTGGTGAGATCAAGCCAACTGCAGGGCAGAGGGCCACCACCTGCCCATAGCCACCCCAACCCACATGCCAGATGGAGCGGCCTGGCCAAAATGGCCCCACTGGGTGCTGACCTCATAGGACACTTTCAGGAGCTCAAAGATGTCCACCTCTGCAGGGGGGTCATCGCTGCTGCTCAGCAAGGCACGGAGGTGCGGGATAGGAGGAGAGACACTCTGCTTGTTGACCACATTATCCAGGTATCTGCAAAGGACAGAGGACAACAGTCCAGACCACGCCCAGGCAGAGGGAGCCTCCTTCCCACAGCTGGGTGATGCGGAGGGACCCAATCTTTATGCAGACTCCTAATAAGGAGTGTGCAGAGGACTGGGCACCCTGCAGGAGGGCAGAGGTGTGCCCTGGCAGCGCCCCCAGCAAGTTGGGGAGCCCTCTACAGGGCAGTGCCCCCGACAAGGCCTGAGCACTAACCCTGAGGACGCTGGGCTGTTTTCTTAGTCAGTGGGGGGGTCCCTTGGGCAGGAACGCCTTATAACCCCAGATCCTACCCAGTTGGAAGGATGACGAGCTTCCTCCCTTTGGCGGGGCCCTGGGGATGTGGGACCTTCTCGCCCTGGCCAAGAAGATTCAGGGATCAAAGGTTGAGTCGCAGGAGAAAGTCAGGTGTGGGGAGGCCTGCTGCAGCCCAGGGAATCAGCTTCTCTAGGGACACAGTCCTGGGGATGGAGCCCTACCTCTGTCAGCTGACCTAGCCCCGCCAGAGTTCATGGCCTCTCTGGGTCCCTGGGCTGAGCCTGACACTCAGGTGGGAGGAGGTAGCTGACTCCCCATGCCCATAGCCCTGGTCATATCCCCAGTCAGACCCCTGCTCTGGAGGAGGCCCTATCCGCCTATTGTAGGAAGCGGCAGGAAAACCAGCCACAGACTCCGGCCACAGGCTGAGTATCTTAACATCAGTGTGGACCAAAAGCTACTTAGGCCCACAGTAGGGAGGTGACAACCCTGCTGGATCTAGAGAGTCCCAGGCAGCACCTGGCCTGGCCATGGGCAAGTGGCAGAGTCCCAGGCTGTTCCTGGGGGCTGGGGGCATTCCAGTCCGGACAAATACGCTATGTAGGAGGGTGGGACTGCACAGAGCTCAGGGCAGGGCAGAGTGTAGCCAGGAGGGGCCGGGGCTTGAAGGCCAGGCTGGAGGCTCAGACAGTGCCTTTGTACAGAGGACCCAGGGAAGGGGCAGGGCCAGGTCTGATCAGAGTCATGGGATGCAGGCAGGTCAAAGACTGAGAGGGGAACCCCAGGGAAAGGGCATGGTGGGCCTGGGCTGAGGCAGCAGGCTGAAGGGAAGGGGCTGGATCCCAGACAGAATCTGCAAGAGATGGGATGTGGGGACTAAGGAGGGGGTGGAGGGGCTGGGATGACCCTGGACATTTGGCGTGACTAGTGGGACATCAGCTCATCCAGCTGTTCCAGCGGGCCCAGGGCAGGCCTGCTCCCTCCAGGGCATGGGGGCTGCAATGCAGCTGAGCTTGGAGAGGTATGACCGGGACCACCTGGTGGACATGAAATGCCCAGCTGTGCCACCAACTGGAATTGTGGTCACTGGATCTTGGCTCTGGTTTGCCCTCAGGGGAAGCATCTCCAACCCTACATCTGAGCGGTGGCCCTCCAGCCAGCATGCTCTGCCCGCAGTGCCTGCTTTACTCCTCCTGGCACCTATCACTGAGCGCTGCTTCATCTCCCACTAGAAAGGAGCCGCCTCCTGACCCCAGAGCACCCCCGGGTCCAGCTGCAGCCTGGCACTTGGTGGGCACAGTCACTTCAGGCTGACTGGACAGTGCCCGGGGCTGGTGAGGGGTTCTGCTGTGAGCCCCCAGCAGGAGAAGGAACCCGGCATGTCACCTGCCCAGCATGGTCATGGCCTCGCCCTCGTCGCTGCAGCCCAGCAGCTGCTCCATGTTGGCGTCCAGGACGGCCAGGGCCACCTGCAGGATCACCTTGATGCCCTCATAGAAAAAGCAGTCGACGATGACCACGGCGCTCTCGAAGGGCATGACGCTGAGGAAGAGGGTCAGGAACCAGGACAGCGAGATGCTGGAGATCACCCCCAGGTCCTGCATCTTCTCCGAGAGCTGCGGCAGGAAGTCTCTCGTGAGCTCTTCGAAGATGCCTTGGTCCACCAGGGCTCCTGCGGGCAGGATGAGCGAGGCTGATGGTGAGCCCACCCTGTGGCCTGGGTGGGCCCTCACCTGCAGCGTACGAGCCCTGGCCACTCCAGCCCTGCCAGCTGTGCAGTGAGGGCTGAGGGAGACTTGGAGTGCTGGGAGAAAACAAGGACGAAAAAACCCTTCAAGTCTCTCTACAGCTCCCAAACCACTGGGCGAAATAACTATTTCTTCTACTACACTTGAATTTTATTTTGGGGAAATACTGATTTCTCCGTAAGGCATGAGAGGTAAACAGCACCCTCAATGACTCTGTCCCATCCTGATGATTGTGAATAGACGCAGCTCTGAAGGACCCCAAGAGCGGTAACTCCAAACACCAGACAGCAGGGGAAGGACAGGATAACATGCTTAAATATGAACCTAATTAAACACTCTTGCAAGTCCATTTCCACTTCATAACAGATTTCACTGGATATGAGTTCAGTAAAGTTGAGCATCAGGTTACATGGGGGATATATACTCTCTAGTTTTGATGTTTGAAATTTTCCATAATCAAAAAGTTGACAGGAAGTTAGATGGATAGGAATTTAGGCTCTGAGGGGACTTTTATAAACCACCGAATGTGTAATACTACCCTCTAACTCCTAGGGAACCCACGTGAAGCCTGGAGCTTGGCCTGGGAAGGGCTGCCACCCTCATGGAACCAGCAGGCACCTGGAGACCCAGGCGAGGCAGCACCCGGGGACACTCACCCACCACCCTGGTGTTGTAGTAGTCGGGCAGCATGCGCTCGCACAGGGCCACCAGGAGCCAGAAGGCCTCCTCCTCACTGCCATAGAGCAGGAGCACCGAGGTCACGATGTTCATTGCCTGCCGGGCACAGAGACAGCCGGGGAAGGCTTGCACTGCTGGCCAGCAAATAAAACTGTCTCTCCCCACCCCTCCCAGCCACCCCTCCCTGCAAGGGCCCACATGATCTTCTTTTTGTTGTTGTTATTTTTATTATTTTTCAGGTTCTCGTGGTGAAGATTAATGGCCTCCTCCTACAAGCAAATCTGCCTCTTCAGGAGGGCTGGGCATCCGGTAATGAGAAACTGCCCCTACCCAACTCTGGGAAATGTCAAAAGGCAATTTGTAGGAAACTGATGGAACAGAGAGTCTGCCAACTCCTTCAAACTGGGTCAGAAGGCACTGGGAAACCAGAGAAGGTGAACATCAACACATCACACTTCTGCGGAGTGGTGTTGGGTGTTGGAGGTGGGATTATGACCAAGCTGATGTGGAGGTGAGCCACAAGGCCAGAGCCCCACACCAAGGCCACCCACTCGGTGCACAACTAGGACCACACACAGCCCTAGCTGCTAACAAGACCTTTAAGGCAAACAGAAAGCCATATGACTTGGCCAGGAAAATGCCTAGATTTAAAATCAAAAGCTGCGAGAAATGCTAACCTAAAGTACAATTAGATACCCTCATGCCCATCACTCTAACAACAACAGAATATAGCAAGTGTTGATGAGGATGTGGAGAAATCGGAACCCTTGTGAACTGCTGGTGGGAATATAAAATGGTGCAGCTGCTGGGGAGGAAGTATGGAGTTCCTCAAAAAATTAAAAATAGGCCAGGCCACAGTAGCTCACACTTTGTAATCCTAGCACTTTAGGAGGCTGAGGAGGTCGGATCACTTGAGCCCAGGAGTTCAAGACCAGCCTGGGCCACACAGTGAGACCCCATCTCTATAAAAAATACAAAAAGTAACTGGGCGTGGTGGTGTGTACCTGTAGTTCCAGCTACCCAGGAGGCTGAAGTGGGAGGATCGATTGAGCCCAGTAGGTGGAGGCTGCAGTGAGCCATGATCATGCCACTGAGATCCAGTGTGGGCAACAGAAGGAGATCCTGTCTCAAAAAAAAAAAAAAAAAAAAAAAAAGCCCAGGAATGGTGGCTGGTGGCTCACGCCTATAATCCCAGCACTTTGAGAGGCTGAGGCGGAAAGATCACTTGAGCCTAGGAGTTTGAGGCCAGTCTGGGCAAGACAGTGAGACCCCATGTCTAAAAAAAAAATATTAGCTGGGTGTGGTGGTACATGCCCTGGGAGGCTGAGACCGGAAGATCCCCTGGTCCAAGGAGCTTGAGACCAGCCTGGACAACATAGCAAGACCCTGTCTCTAAAAATAATAATAATAATTTAAAATAAATTAAAAATAGAAATACTGGCCAGGCACAGTGGCTCACGCCTGTAATCCCAGCACTTTAAGAGGCCAAGGCAGGTGGATTACCTGATGTCAGGAGTTCAAGACCAGCCTAGCCAACATGGCGAGACCCCGTCTCTACTAAAAATACAAAACATTAACTGGGCATGGTGGCACATGCCTGTAATCCCAGCTACTCAAGAGGCTGAGGCAGGAGAATCGCTTGAACCTGGGTGGTAGAGGTTGCAGTGAGCTGAGACTGCACCACTGCACTCCAGCCTGGGAAACAAGAGTGAGATTCTATCTCAAAAAAAAAAAAAAAAAAAGAAAAGAAAAGAAAAGAAAATGTGGTCTATGTAATATGATGGAGCCTGAGAAAGAAATTCTGACACATTCATATGACATGGATGACCCTTGAGGATATCTTGCTAAGTGAAATAAGCCAGGCACAGTAAGGCAAATACTGTGTTATTTCACTTATATGAGACACAGTAGTCAAATTCATAGCAATGGAAAGTAGAACAGTGGTTGCTAATGGTGATCGGGGCATGTTTAATGGGCACAGAGCTGTGGTTTTGCAAGATGAAGAGAGGTCTGGGGATGGATGGCGGTGACGGGCGTGCAACAGTGTGAATGTGCTTAGAGCACTGAGCTGCACGCTTAAAAACAGTGAAGATGGGACATTTTATGTTCTGTATGTGCCTGTTTCACCAAACACATACAACAATCAAATGCTGCTGGGACTCAGACAAAAGTACAAAGACGACGACTTCTATTCGGCATGGGGATGCGATGAGCAATTAATACTGTTTTTAAATTACATCTTTTTCTGCTGGGCTCCTTCCTTGGGACACAAGGCAGGGTCACCACACAGGCCTGGGACCACAGGGACCTGCTCCTGTGAACCTCTGGTGGCAGATGCTGTCTCTGGGCCCCTGTCAGGCCCCTTACCTGGCAGTAGCCGATGGTGGGGTTTCGGAAGGCATAGGCAGTCAGCACCCGCCGGAGGGCAGCAATCCCCAGCTCGTTCTGGAAGGCAGGGTGCTCGGGCATGGAGCGGTGCAGGTCTCGCTCGATCTCCTCTGTGGCCAGGCTGTACTTCCCGGTGGACTTCTCCACCAGCTCAGCATAGTACCCGGGGTGAGTCACCATCTCATTCCAGGCCCCTGGGGAGACACGGGTGCCAGCTGTCTCTGTCCTTCTTCTGGTACTTTGGGGGCAGTAACAGGGCAGGTTGGAGTCACCGGGTGCCCCACAGAGGAGAGGTGGGACTTGGGGTCAAGCACAAGCTGCGAGGCAAGGTTTCCCTTGTGCTCCTGGGGAGGGTGCTCTACCCGAAAGTTCAAGTGGCTGACTTGCCTCTTCCAGCAACCACGGGTGTGAATGCTGTCAGAGCCTGTCCCAAGGAAAGGAGGCCTCTAGGGGACCTGTTTCCCTCCCGCTGTGGGCGGGAGGGCACCACCCGGCCAGCAGAGTGCCCATTCCCCAGCCTCTGTCCCTCGAGATGCTCCTTCTGGTTGGGTCCCGGGCCAGAGCCCAGAGCCCAGAGCCCGGCTCCCGGCTGTGTGAAAGAGCTGGGAGCTCCTGCCTGGCCAACTCCAGGCCGGCTCAGGACAGACGAGCTCACACGGGGAGAGCTTGGGGACTGACTGGCTGAGCTGAGGCTGGGGGTGGCTGCACCCCACTCACCGGAGAAGAGGAGCCACAGCTCTCCCCGGAGGCTCTCAGGGATACCCTTCAGGACCAGTGCCCGCGTCTTGGCTGTGCGGTACATGCACACGCCACGCCCGTACTCGAAGAAGTGGATGTGCCATGACTCCTCTTTCATCTTCTCCTTGGCCTGAGGGAAAAGCGCATCAGGGAGCCTGGGGGCCGAAGCGCATCTGAGTGCCGAGGCCTAGGCCACCGCGGAAGCCTCGTGAACACTCCAGACAGTGCTGGCCAGCAAGTGTGGCCTTCCTCGCAATTCCCGGGAAAGACCAGGCCGCGCTGAGCCACACCTCCCAAGGCTCAGGAGACCAGCTCCTCAGCGGGAGGGCCCTTCCCTTCAGAGGCCTGGAGTCCGTGGCAAACAGCACACTGAGCAGGTCAGCGGAGCCCCCCAGAGAGTGCCTGCTCCGTCTCACGCTGCCAGGGTGCAGCCTGGGTGGGCACTGCCCAGCGGTCAGCCCAGGGCCCTGAGGGAAGGCCCAGGCCCAGGACTGGCTCCAGCTTTCCTCCTGAGGGCTCCGCTCTTGACGGAGGCTGGAGTGCCGGCGCTCAGGGCTCACCCCCTTGGCTCCAAGGTCCTCCATGGGCGAGTTTTTCTGGAAGAGCTTCAGCAGGCCCTGGGATGCGGTTGGCGCCTCCTGCGCACAGAAGCTCTGGCGGCTGCTGAGGGGAGAGGCTGGGCTGGCGGGCTGCTCCGACCCCTCCTGAGGAGCTGGGGAAGACTAGAAAATAAAACAGGGAAGGGGACGCCCTAACAACTGTGCTGCCAGGTGGCCTCTGATGCGCCCATCCATCCAGAGCTGGATCGGGGCCCGGTGCAAGAAGGGCCATGGGGGCAAACGGTGCACGGAGAAGAGCCTGTCTGGCTGGGCAGGAGGCTGTGGCTGCAGCTCAGCCCTCAGCTCCTCTCTGGCTGCTGGACACCGAGTCCTCAGTAATTAACCCCACTCTCACCAGCGAGTCAGTCTCAGGGAGCGGGTTCTGGGCTCACCCTGTGGGGCCCTTTTCTGAGGGGGGTCAGTGCAAAGGACAGGAGAGGCCCTATCCTAACGTGGAGGCACACCCCTGCCCACCCTCGGGCCCATGCTTCCTGGGCTGCACAGAGGGCTGGGTGATGGCCTGTGATGTTGGGCTGGGCTCAGGGTGGGTTTAGGGCGACTGCGTCACCCGGTTGCTACCAAGGAAATGAGTGGCCCTTCTGCAGGAGTGTTGGGATAACCCAGGGAGCATGCAAGGCCTGCTGCTGCCATCATGGTGCCACACCGGCCTGAGAGTGATGCTGTCTTGGCAGAAAGCAAAGTCCAGTGGGGGAGAGCCCAGCTCGACCAGGGCCAGCTGACTGCCTGAACTTCTTGGCTGGGCAGGTGGTCGATTCCCCATGGTGGGCTCTGGCCTGGGCTGGGCTCTCTACCCCTCACACCCTCCCACTGGCTCTGGTCCCGTGGCCACGGTCCCACTCCACCCAGGGCTGGGGCAGCTGCCAGGGTGCTGGGCGCCCTCCTAAAACACTTCACATTCTGTGTTTTTTTGAGAGAACCCTGATCTTGACTGTGGTGATGGCTTCATGGGCGTATACCTGTTAAAACGTACCAAATTGTATTCCTTAAATATGTACAGTGTATTGCGTATCAATTTTACCTCAATAAAGTTGTTATTAATATAAAAGGAAAAAGGAAAAAAAAAAAGAGAGAACTCTGCTAGGTTCACACCCACAGTCTACCCCTCTGGCCCCTGTGATGTTAGAAATGGATTTTGGGTCCACTTAAACAAATGTTGACGACAAGCTGCCTGAATCCAGTGGGCACGGCCCCAGCGCAGACTGACTGCCTGCCTGGAGATCCTGCTTCCCACCTGAGCTCCCCCAGAGGGACCGACTAGGACACACACGGGCTCGCAGGCTGTGAGGTGCCTTGGAGGATCACACATCTCAGTGCCAGGGAAGGAGCCACACCGCCGGGTGTGTGGCGTGCAGCAGACGTGTGCTCCTGGCCAGGGAAGGGGCCAGACCGCCGGGTGTGTGGCGTGCAGCCAACGTGTGCTCCTGGCGAGGCGGCAAGCGTGGCACCAAGCTCAGGGACCAGGCGGCTTTCGGCAGAAGCTTGGCTCAAGTCCCACCTTACATTCGGGCTTACTGGCCTCAGGTGGGTGCTCAGAGCTGCCTGGGATCTTATGTATTCCTAGTCCAGTCCTCCCCTCTTCCCCGAGGTAACCACCTCACATAAACCTCCAAAACCACTTGCCATCCTTGCATCCCACTGAACCACACTTCTTCCTGTTTAACTGAGAACAGGGAACAATCCGAGCCCTCCACGGGTGCCCTCCTGCCCGCCCACCTGCCTGCACCTGGACCCCATCCCCTGCCTTCTCTGCAGGAGTCGCTCTCCCAGCACAGAACTGCACTGTTACTCCTCTAAAGCCCACCCTCACTTTGGCTGGGTGCTGTTCACCTATTATGCTCCCTCTGCTAAGATTCATCCAGTTGTACACCGTATGTTTACTTTTGGATATATATGTTAAACTTCAATTAAAATTCTAGCCCTCCCAGAAGTTACCTCCATTACTCTGTTGACCTTTATACAAAATTTCTTGAAAGAGATGCTTAATCTCACTGTCTCCTTTCCCCCTTTCAAGTTTTTTTCCCTGTTAGAAAGTGTATATTTATACTGTAACATTTTATGCTAATATCATTATATAGTTTCTTAGTCCTCTCTTTTTAAGATGTCAGTTCCCTACTACAAGCAATATTGAAATTAGCTAGCAGGCCTTTTCTTCCCACTTTCCTCCCTCTCTGCCAACATCTGATCAAAAGGATATATTTTTAATTAATAAGGCAATCAGTGAGCTTATTCTATTTTCCATATCTTTCCATATACCTTCCGTTTTTTTTTTTTTTTTGAGATGGAGTCTTGCTCTGTCACCCAGGCAGGAGTACAGAGGTGTGATCTCAGCTCACTGCAACCTCTGCCTCCTGGGCTCAGGCAATTCTCCTGCCTCAGGTTCCCAAGTAGCTGGGATTACAGGTGTGTGCCACCATGCCCGGCTAATTTTTGTATTTTTAATAGAGACGAGGTTTCACCATATTGGCCAGGCTGGTCTCAAACTCCCAACTTCAGGTGACCCGCCTGCCTCGGCCTCCCAAAGTGTTGGGATTACAGGCATGAGCCATCAAGCCCAGCCTCATATACCTCCCTAACCTCAGGTTTTGATTGTACTATGTCTCCATCATCAGAGATTATAACATTTATATACTGTCACCTCTATTCCTACTATCTAACCTTAATTCCACAGCTAAATATAATCAATGCTACCACCAGTCGTTAGGCCCAAGCTGCTTCCATCACTCCTTGGTTATCTGGAGTCTGTTCTCCAGCAGACTCCACAGAAGCTGAGAGAGCCCCTGAACTCCTCTGCATGTTCTTTACAGCCTATGGTCTTTATACCTGAACGTCAGTTTGGCTGGGTATAAAATCCCTGGGTCACAGCTTCTTTTATTGTATATCTTAAAAATGTTACTCTGTATAATCTCAGCACTCTGGGAGGCTGAGGCAGGTGGATCACCCTAGGTCAGGAGTTCGAGATCAGTCTGGCCAACATGGTGAAATCTCAACCCCATCTCTACAAAAAATACAAAAATTAGCCAGGCATGGTGGCACATACACGTAGTCCCAGCTACTCACGGGCCTGAGGCACAAGACTGCTTGAACCTGGGAGGCAGAGGTTGCAGTGAGCCGAGATTGTGCCACTGCACTCCAGGAGACACCCTCCCCAACCCCCAACAAAAAGTTACTCTAAAATGTTGTTACTGTATCACAAAGTCTGATACCTCTCTTGAGGAGGAATCTCTCAGGATCGTGGCCCATTGCAACCTCCTTCTCCCACCTCCTGGGTTCAAGTGATTCTTGTGCCTCAGCCTCCCAAGTAGCTGTGATTCCAGGCATGTGCCACTATACCTAGCTTAGTTTTGTATTTTTAGTAGAGACAGAGTTTCACCATGTTGGCCAGGCTGGTTTTGAACTTCTGGCCTCAAGTGATCTGCCTGCTTCAGCCTCCCAAAGTGCTGGGATTACAGGTGTGAGCCACTGTGCCCAGCCTGGAATAATTTTTTAATCTTTAAAATTGAACAGTTTTATGAGATTTTATGTCAATATCGACTATTTTGTGTTGATTTTTCTAGACATTCAATGTGTCCTTCCACTATACAAGTTCAAGCTTATTTTATCAGTTTTCCTGAATCACAGTTTCTATTATCTGTTATTCCACTGCTTTTTTCTGGGAAGGGTGTGGGATGGCACTACGATTATACGTAAGTTTGATCTTCTTTGCCTAACTTCTTTATCCCTTCTCTGGACAACTTCTTCTCTATTTGTTTGAGTCTCCTCTGACTCCATTTTTCTCCTATCTCTTCCTTATTTACCTTAATGTATTTTCATTCTTGTGTTCCTGATTTTCATTTCAGAAATATCTGGTTTTTTTTTTCTTATTTCCTCCTGAGTCCTGTCAACTCTCTTCATATTTTTCTGTTGACTAGTCACTTTTAACCTGAGCTTTTTAAACATTTTTAATTTATACCATTCTTTAGTAGTTTCTGTCGTTTTTCTAATTCCTTTGAGATCACTCAGAAACATCAGGACACAGTTTTCATCTGCCTGGAGGAATGTTTTTCTGGTGTGCTTTCATTATCTGTGGGAGGTTATCTGGTTCACTTTCTCCCCGCAATATCTTTGTACAGGGTGTGATCAGCATCTTTTCCTGTTCTTTCAGCAGGATGTTCTACGTACGGGCAGTTGTGGGTCAGAGTAGCTTTCTGAACTCCACAGCTGGAGAGGCCTTTCCCCTGCTGTGGTCGGTCTGTGTAGTCCTTGCTCCTGTACTTTCTGGGATTGGCCACCTCTTTCTTGTATCTAAAGCTTTTCTCCTTTACCCCAAGTGTTCCTGCTCTGTTCAATCCCAGTCCTTTTTTTCTTGGGGTGAGCTCTTGTCTTTCAGAAGAGAAGTTTTTGTTAAGGGCATGGGTTTCCCTCACATTCTTGATCTTTCCTCAGCCGTATAATACGTCAGGCAGCGATAAGGCTGTGGGTAGAAATAAAGCAGGATTTTGTGCTTCCATTAATAAAAAAAAGCCTCCTCTATAAACTGGAGCCTGAGAAATCGGCTCCCAATTTCACTGGCTGTCTCTCAGATTCACTTGTTGAGGTTTCCATTTGCTGAGTAGTCTCTTGTGAGGGGTATTCTGGTGACTTCTGGATTCCTTGGCTCTTAGGACTATCAGAGCCCCTCTTCCTTCCCGCCATTGCCTCAGCACAGCTACTGGCTCTGTGTCTGCACAGAGTCATGCCACAGTTGGTGGTCTGGCCTCCAACTGTGGTGCACAGTTGGTGGATAGAGCATAGCACGGAGGTTCCTTGAAATATTAAAAATAGAACTGCTATACAATCCAGCAATTCCACTCCAGGGTATGTCCCCAAAAGAACTGAAAGTAAAGATTCAAACAGACATCTGTACACCCATGTTCACAGCAGTGTTACTCATAATAGCCATGAGGTGGAAGCAGTCCAAGTTTCAACAGTGAACAAAACGTGGCTTATCCATACAATGGCATATGATTCAGCCTTAAAAAAGAAATCTTGAGCACGCTACAACAGGGATGAACCTGGAGGACATCACGCTGAATGAAATAAGCCAGGCACAAAAGGGAAAATACTATATGCTTCCACTTATGTGCATTACCTAGAATAGTTCAATTCAAGTCAAAAAGGTAGAATGGTGCTTGCCAGGGGCTGGGGGAGTGGGGGCTGAGGAGTTACTGTTTAATGGGTTCAGAGTTTCAGTTTTGCAAAACTGAAAAAGTTCTGTGGATGGATGGTGGTGATGGCATAGCAATGTCAATGTACTTAATGGTAAATGTTGTTATGTGTATTTTATCACAATAGCGTCTCCTGAATCTGACCCCTTCTTACACCTACACTGTTCCTACCCTTGATGCTCGACTCCATCATCTTGTGCCCCTGCTTCTGTGATGGGCTCCAGCCGGCCTCCTTGCTTCTATTCTTGCCACTCTCTAGTCCAGCACTGCCCAAGAGAGATGATGAGAGCCACAAATGTAATTGTAAATTTTCTAGTAGCCACATTGTAAAGTCCTAAAGTAAATTATTGAGATTAATTTTAACAATATATTTGACTTAATCCAATATATCCAAAATACTCGCATTTCAACAGGAATCAATTAAAAAATGATGGAGTGGCCAGGCACGGTGGCTCACCCCTGTAATCCCAGCACTTTGGGAGGCTGAGGCAGGTGGATCGCCTGAGGTCAGGAGTTCAAGACCAGACTGGCCAACATGGCAAAAACCCGTCTCTACTAAAAATACAAAATAAGCCGGGCGTGGTGGTGGACGCCTGTAATCCCAGCTACTCGGGAGGCTGAGGCAGGAGAATCACTTGAACCTGGGAGGCAGAGGATGCAGTGAGCCAAGACTGCCCCACTGCACTCCAGCCTAGGTGACAGAGCAAGACTCTGTCCCCCCCCCAAAAAAAAAAAGATGGAGGTATTTTACGTTTTTCTTTTCATACGAAGTCTCCAAAACCCGTGTACAGTGATCTGAACACTCACAGCACATTTCCATTGGCACCCGCTGGATTTCCAGTGCTCCATGGCCACACGTGGCTGCTGTACTAGACGGGGCACCTCTAATCCACTGTCAACATGGACGGCCACAGTAACCCCATTAACACGTAAACAGGTCGTGCCCTCCTCTGGTCATGACTCTTCACTGGCTTCCCCTCTCACCTGAAGTCAAAGCTGCAGCACTCACAGGGCCTACGGGCTTTCGGTGACTTGGCCTTCTGCCACCTCTCTGGTCTCACCTCCTACACCTGGTCAGTCTCCTAAGCCCTGGTCCCAGAAGCCCGTGCCACATCCAATCCTGTCTCCCAGCTTGCTGTGCTCTCTGCCTCCAACACCCTGCCCCAGACAGGCTATGGCTAGTTCCCCTGCTTCTTTCGAGTTTCTCCTCCAGTGCTGCCTGATCAGAGAGGTTGCCCATGAGCAACAGAGAGAAAATGGAGCCCCCTTCTTTCCCCTGGCACTCCTGATCCCCTCATCCTGCTTTATTTCTACCCACAGCCCTTATCACTGCCTGACATATTGTATGTTTATTTGCTTACTGCCTCCCTCACTGGAATACAGCTCTAAGTGAACAGGCACTCTGTCCGATGTGTTCACTGTTCTACTCCTGGGGCCTAGAATAGCAGCTGGCACCTAACAGGAATGCAATAAAATGTGTTTGGATGCATGAAGCCGAGTGCCTGGGAGGGGCCGTGAGTGGTGCTTACTCAGCTTTCAGGAAGTGTGGGGCCTCATGGAGGCAGAGGAGGCTCGACCACCCTGTTCACTGCCCCTGCCACTCAATCCAACTTCACTCTTTCTTGAAATCCCAGATGAAGCCCAACCTTCTCCACACCTTTCTTCATGTCTGCAATCCACATTGATTCCGCCCACCCCTTCCCATGCGCTCACTGACGTAGTAATTTATTTAGCATCTATTACTGGGGCAGACAATGTAAAGGTCTGCCTGGGCCAGACCACACACGGCTCTAGAGCATGGAGGACACGCACAGCCCCAGCTCCCACGCCCGCTGCCCAATGGGATGGGGCCTTTAGGGCTGGGCACTGACTTTTCTAGAGAAGCTGGATCTGTGAATTTGCATATGGACTCTTCTAATGGCCAAATGTTTTTGCAAATTCAGACTCAACGACAGCAGCAGCACATCCATCTTGTCACACCAGAAAGCAAGGAATCAAAGACGACCAGTGTCGTGCCCAGGGACTCTCAGGGCTAGACCAGATGAGCCCCTCTGGCCACAGACAGAATAAGCATAGTGATTCCAGTGGAAAGACACACATCAAGTTGCTTAAATCCATACGTTCATAATTACAATAAAAAGTAAACCAAAAAACTCACTGGTCACATGTGGAAGACACTAGAAAACCAACTCATCATTATTTTGACAACTGGTGAGTAAGAGGAAAGAGTAAAACATGTATTCCACCTTTCCTCTATGAACTGTGCCTGGGGTCAGCTTCCCTCTTTGGGAGAATTTCAGCTCCCAGACGAAAGGAGGAATGGAATGAGCATGCCGCTGGCCACTGGCCGCTGGATCCAGGCATATTCTCAATGACTGACAGTAGCATAGAGAGGTGGCTGGTTGCCAGACATCTCTTGTTGGGAATAAACAGCACCTCAAGCCTGCCCACAGGCGGACCTGCCAGAACCAAAATCAGCTGAGCCTGAATGTGATCACGGCTCTCGGTCTCACCGCTCAACCAACTTAAACAAGA
The DNA here is from genome assembly GCF_000001405.40 of Homo sapiens. Classification (NCBI taxonomy): domain Eukaryota; kingdom Metazoa; phylum Chordata; class Mammalia; order Primates; family Hominidae; genus Homo; species Homo sapiens. The sequence continues at coordinate 179,887,406 of NC_000005.10, forward strand.
GACACAGGAGCTTGCTAAACGCCTGCAGCGGATGCAATCAGCAAAACCAGACGATGAGAGACTCTATGGCACAAGTGACCGATTCCTTCAAAAAAATATTGTGGAAGAATAAACGAGAGCTAGGTGGAGCAGAAGCCCGTAGATTAAACAGATTTAAGAGACCTATCAACCAAGAGTGACATGTGTGACTTTCGTCTGCCTCAGTTCAAATAATCAAACCGTGAAAAGTACACTTGCACACGGGGAAGTGTGAATACAATATTTGGTGATATTAAGGAATTCTTGTTAAGTTTGCTGGTACAATAGTGATACTGCAGTTCTACCGTCAAGAACTTCAGCCTGAACGCCTGGCAGGGAAGGTCATGGGAACAAAGCCGAAGTGTACAGGCCTCCACAGTGTGGCTTTGCTCTGAGTGCAGCAGCAATGCAGAAAGGACAGCCAGAGAAGGTTCCTCATGGGCAATGGGCCCAGCAGGAGTGAGGAGTACCGGGTGTGTGGCTGGGGGTGCAGAGAGGCTGTGATGTTGCTGGGCAGTGTGGGTCTGGGCTAGGGGTCTCTTGCCAGCTCTGACACATCCACCCCTAGGCGGAGGCCCACAGCCGGAACCATGGGGTCAGGCTCCAGCGGGGAGGCTGATGGATGCCCTGGCTCTTCCTGGGCCCAACTCGACCCTGCTGCTCCCAAGGGGCTTCTCACCTCTGTGCTAGGGTCCACAACACTGGCTTTCCTGCTCCCGATACTGCCTGGCTGCTTGGATGGTGTTTTCTGGAGGAAGTCAGAGATCCTCTGCACCAAGAAATCACGGTCTTTCAGGTTGGCAAACAGGAATGTCATTTTGCTTTTGGTGCTGATGGACAGGGGGCTGGGCAGCACGCTGGAGCTGTCAGCTTTTTCGACAATGGTCACCTGAGAAGGTGAAAGAACTCTTTTGGGTGTCTGCATCTCAGGCCCTGCAGCTGGGCATGCTTTGTGAATGGCAGACTGTCATGCAGCTGTCCTCTCCTGGGCACAATGCAGTGAGTGGCCCAACTGTCCTCACATTCTGACTCTGCCACCCGCTGCACCTAACCCCGAGCAAGTTGCCTGTGCCTCTAAGGGCCCGTTTTTCCTGTCGATGGCGGGGAGCACACCGGCTGTGCAGGGTGGTTCTGAGGATGATGTAGTGTTCAGCCCAGCTGCTGGCCTTCACTGGCTCTCAGAAGGCTGTCCGAAAGCAGGGCAAGCAGTCCCTTGCTTGCAGGACTGTTCCCTGCACTTGTTCCCAGGGAACACTTTTTGACAGCAGGGGTCCTGGAGCTTGGCTCTGAACCCCTCTGAGGTGTAGAGGGCACAGGACAAGCTTTCAGTGGGCACCTCTGCAGAGCCCAAGGCCTGGCAGGGAGACGGACGAGGGATGCACCAGCTGAGCACAGTCAGCAGGGGTGAGTGCTGGGAAGAGGGAAGGCTGGGTGGTCCCAGGGGAGGCGGCCACTGAGCTGAGACCTGGTCCAGCCAGGTGAGTGCTGGGGAAGAGATGGGTGGGGGCACAGCAGTCACCCTGCAGAGGGGAGTAGGACTGCCTGAGGGAGGAAGAGAAGGCCAGAGAAGCCAGGACAGTGTGAGCTGGGCAGTGGTGGAGGTGAGTGTGCACTTTTTTTTTTTTTGAGACGGAGTCTCGCTGTCGCCCAGGCTGGAGTGCAGTGGTGCGATCTCAGCTCACTGCAAGCTCTGCCTCCCGGGTTCACGCCATTCTCCTGCCTCAGCCTCCCAAGTAGCTGGGACCACAGGTGCCCACCACCACGCCCGGCTAATTTTTTGTATTTTTAGTAGAGACGGGTTTCACCATGTTAGCCAGGATGGTCTCGATCTCCTGACCTCGTGACCCACCCGCCTCAGCCTCCCAAAGTGCTGGGATTACAGGCGTGAGCCACCGCGCCCAGTCTGAGTGTGCACTTTTTATGTCTGTGTGTGAACATATCCATGGGGTGTGCCTGGGCGCAGGTCTGAGAGGGGGAGAGGCGCACAGAAGGCCTCACAGGTCACAGGAGGCAGGTGGGAGAGGCGCACAGAAGGTCTCACAGGTCATAGGAGGCAGGTGGGAGAAGACTCTAGAGGACTCTAAGCAGGGTGCCAACATGCTCCCACTGACATTTCGAATTTTGCTGGTTGCTGTGGGAGGATACGCCATAAAGGGGCTAAGTGTGTTAGGCCGGGTGTGGCGGCTCAGGCCTGTAATCCCAGCACTTTGGACGGCTGAGGGAGGATCACTTGAATCCTGAAGTTTGAGACCAGCCTGGGCAACATGATGAATCCCTGTCTCTGTTAAAAATTTAAAAAAAACAGCTAGGTGTGGTGGCAAGCATCTGCTGTCCCAGCTACTCGGGAAGTTGAGGTGGGAGAATCACTTAAGTCCGGGAGATGGAGGCTGTAGTGAGCCATGATCACACCACTGCACTCCTGCCCAGGCAAGAGTGAGACCCTGTCTCAAAAAAAAAAAAAAAAAAAAAAAAGGCGGGGGTTGGGGTTCAGTGTGGTTAGGGAGTGGCTAAAGCAGATGATGGTGTCTTAGGTGGTGTCCGTGGAGAGGAAGGGCTGAGCTCTGCGGGGTGAGCTGGCAAGACATGCTGTAGGGAGGAGGGAGAGGTCGGAATCTAGGCCGATACGTGGCTTTTACCTGGGCAAAGGGTGGAAGAGGGGTCACTTCCCGAGGGAAGCATGGAAGCGGGTGGTTGGGAGTGAAATTCAAGAGTCCACTACACCCACAGCAGAGTGAGCTGCGTGCGCAAAAGCCTGCAGGCTGGAACGTGGAGGAGCAGGTGTGTTGAGGGGTCAGCGCTGGCTGGGCAGGCGGCCCCCACCCTGACCAGCTGCAGAGTTCCATCACCAGAGCACACTCAGTCCTCCAGTGTGAGCTAGTCCTGCTCCCCGAGCTCCGCCAGGGCTCTCTACCATCTGAGATGTCAAGGGCCCGGCAGGAGAAATCCAAACGGAGCCTCAGGTGTCAGGAAGACCCCTAGGCCTGGGGGACAGGTCAGTACAGTGCCCCGGACAGATCCACAGGGCCCTGGTGCTAACAGAATGTGGGGTTCGGGTCACACCTGAGCCTCTTAACCTGGAGCTTTTGGAGCTGTGGCTCTTCTGAGTTCCTTCCCTCTGACTTCCCTTGGGGAAACTGAGGCAGCAACTCTCCCACACCTATTCTCAGCTACATCTGCAACTTGAGGGATTTGTGCAAATGGCAGGGAGGTCTTTAAGTTAAGAATCTCACTTGATTCTTCTTATAATTAAACAGTCAGAGCCCTGCTTGGCCACAAGGAAAAGGAGGCCTTGGGACCTGTCCTGACTCAGTCTCATGCCTTCTATTTGGGCAAGGGCCCTTGTCCTTGCTGTCCACACCCCTTCGGTGCAGTGCAGGACAGATGGCCTTGCTCCCACCAGGGTCACTGTGGAAGTCCAAGAAACCCAAGAAGGAGCAAGTGAGAGCCAATGCAGCCTCACAGGGGAGAGCCGACGCCGCCCCACAGGGGAGAGCCGACCTCTGATGGCCTGCTGGAGCCGAGCCACGCCAAGGTGGTATGTCCAGAGAGGACTGGTGAGGTGGCCTCTGAGAGTGACATATGGGACCGGTGCAGGAACACGGTCCTCTAAGCGCAGCCACGGAGCAGCACTTTGCCCTGCAGGGCCCAGAAGGCAGGCCTGATGGAAACTCACGCGTGGGAGACCCTGTCTCCACTAGGCAAGTGACCTGAGAGGGCAAGCAGTGTGCCCCCACCATGTTACCTGCCTCCCCAACAGGGCAGGTGCCTGTGGAGGGGCTCACTTGTCCTACACCCTCCACCTGTCCCATCACTGAGTGACATGTGACTGCCTGGGCTAGGGCATCCTCCCAGGTACCCCCCAGTGAGACAGGGCAGAGCAGGACAGGCTGGTCCCTGAGCCCACTGACACCTCGGGGCTGGAAAGGCCTTGGCCTCTCAACTAGGGGATGCTGACCTCCCTCAGGGGTATGATGAGGTGGCAAGCGTCCTCCTCCTTGCTGGCGAAGCAGATGTAGTTGTTGGAGATGAACATCTGGCCAGGGATGTGCAGCTTGTTGAACGGCGTCCACAGGGTGCAGCTTGTGTGGCCGTCTAGCCGCTCATCCCTGGGCAGCCGGAACGTGGCTCGGTAGCACTCATTCTTGGCTCGGGCGTCCAGGTCTCTGGGGAAACAAGGTAGGAGGACAGGAGGAAAGGGGACAAGGTCAGGACCAGCACACTCTCAAGGAAGCCTTGGGGCCTCCCCAGGCCTGTTTCCACATCAGATTCAGGATCCCTGGGGTGGTCCCTTGAGCAAGTCATGCTCAGGGACCTCAGAGTTCAATAAAAGATGCATGCTGAGTGAGCAGGCAGAAGGTGAGACAGTCACATAACCAGCGGAGAAGTGGCCAGCAAGCAATGTGTCCTGAGACTGCTTTGAAAAGGACACACCTAGATGCTGGCCTGGGCAATGTGCAACCCATCCCTCGGTACTGATGGGCAAGCAGAGCCCAGAGCACCTGCCCTGGATCCCACTCAGATGGAGGGCCCCGGGCAGCTCTTCCACCCTGGGCAGGCCTAACCCCAGGTTTCACCTTGAAACCTAGGTGAGGAGCTCCCCACAGGGAGGTGTGGAGCTTAAACTAAAGCATGCGGCTGCTAACAGAAATGCACACCTGTGTATCTGATGGCTGTGACAGTGGCCTGGCCCAGGCCCTCACCCCTTTGGTGGCTCTGTCCACATAAACTCTCCCAGCCCCAAAGGGAGCCTCCTGCCTGCCCTGGGCCGCAGTGGCCTGACCAGGGCCTGACTGCATTCTCACCGGCAGTGCCAGGAGCAGTCATGTTCCATCTCTGCTCGTGTTCTTTCCAAAAGGTCCAACAAGCCAACCTGTCACTTGCATCCCAAGGACAACATGCTTGCACAATTTTCTGGTCCTGGAGGTGGACCCCAGAGTTTGGGCCTGGACCACAGTCTGTGGGTGCAATGCAGGAAATGGCCTGGCTGGAATGAGGTCGCTCAACACAAGGGTGTGAATCTGGCTGTGGTCAGGCTGGCTGTGGGACCCAGGGAACCTCAGAGATCTTGTCCAGCCTCTGGAGTTTCCCATAAGCTACAACCTAGGAACCCAAACGTTAAGTAGCCCGGGAGGGCTGGCTGCTATGATGTGTTCCTGCCTATCGGTCCCCTGGACAGGGCAGCAGGGAACTCAGACCCACACATGGCCCATCTCCTTGGCTGGCTTCAGACCCAGAGGTCTGCTTCCACGTCAAACTCAGGACCCCTGGGGGTCCCATGGCTGTGAGAGGCCTCTGGCCAAGGAGTCTCAGGGTATACAGGAGAGCTGTCAATCACGGTGGGACGGAGGCCGTGCACTTGAGCCCAGATTTACCAAAGCCTTTCTGGGGGTGTCAGAACACCCTGGCTGAGGTGGCTACATCCTGGCTCCACTGCTCACTAACCGAGGGACTTCAGGCAAGTTACTTAACCTCTCTGTGCCTCAGCTTCCTTGTCTGATACCTAGGGATGGTAAGAGCCCCTTCCCATCATAGGGCCAAGAGGAATAAAGTGTGAAGAGCTTCCTCCCCATTAGTGGTATCCTCAGGACATCACTGCTATCTCCTGCTGCCTCTCCACACGGGACTGCAATGATCTGTTTACCTGGCTTCCTTCCCAAGTGGGGAGCCCATGAGGGGTGAATGTGGACACCTTCTCCAGGTCTACACACTTGGACCAGGCAGGTCCCAGCCAAGGTCAGCGAACCTGGCTCACATGAGCCCACCCCAGCCCTGGAGGGCAACGCACCGCTTCAGGGCTGAGATGTTCCTGTGTGGCCGGATGGGCCTAGGCAGGGCCTTGTCCTCCAGGAAGCCCTCGCTGTCCAGCAGCTGCCGCATGGCCAGGTTGGCCAACTGCTCCATGAGCTTGAAGGTCTCGCCGATGTTGAGGAACATGGAGAAGAAGAGCTCCTGGTCGCGGGTGTCCACACGGATGCTCTCGGGGAAGAGCAGGGTGGCGTTCTTCTCCAGACGCGTTATGTCCACCCACTGCACCACGAGGCTCACTGTGCCCACAGAGATAGACACACCGCAAGTTAGGGCCTGGCAGGGCGAGGCTCCTGATGCCCATCTGTACCCCAGACCCATCCCAGGGAACTGCTCTCTGGGGGCAGCACTTCCTGTGTGCCCAGGCCTGTCTGGGCTGTGTCACGCCCTCCATGTGGAGGGACCAGGCCACTGAGGTGTCCACTGCCTTCCAGACCAACCACACACGGTGAGTGTCTCCCCCACCAGTGGCTGAAGGGGAAAGGAACGAACGTGCGGAGGTGAACCACCGAGACCCACCCAGCAGCTCCCCCAAGTGGGAGCGCACGGAGGTGTGAACAGTCACAGCACAGCGCGGCCAACACAGAACAGGACACAGCCCCTGCTGACGGGAGGTGACTGGCCACCTGGTCGTGACAGGTAAGCGGCAAGGGCAGGAGGGGGCACAGGGAGGCTGTGGGCTGAGGGAGGCAAGGAGGGAGGAGGGCTTGGTGGGCTTGGGGATGGCTAAGACCCTGGGGCTCTTTCTGGAGCTGCTGGGAAATCAGGCTCGCATCCTGTGGCCGGGATGTCTGTAGGGAGGAACCTGCAGCAGATGAGGGCTGTGGCACGCACCCAAGGCATTGCATGACATGGAATCACCAGGAATTTGGGACAGACGTGTGCCTGAATACGCCAGTTCAGCAGAAGAGGGCAGGGCAGGCACGCGGAGTCACCATGTAGAGAACCCTACTAGCGAGTGGGGGGCATGGTAAAAGTCGGCTGGGAGCAGGTGTACGCCTGGCCAAGGCCGGACAGTCCCATCTTGGGCCGCTAAGGTGGCATTTGGGTTTCAGGGAGACCCCTCTGGTGGCCATGTGGGGATGGAGTATCTGGGGGCCGAAGGCAGGGAGGGGCTGAGGGTGTGGGGGCTGGGGCACACTGAGGGGCGGGCTCACCTTCCTTCCCCAGCAGGAAGGAGTAGAAGCACAGGTGGTTGACCGTCAGGTACAGCCAGCCCTGCCGGGGCACGCGGCCCTTCCAGTAGCTGCAGGAGTAGTAATTCACCAGCTTCTCGCCCTCAGGCATCCCAAACTGCTTCCGCATCTTCAGCTCAGCCTCCTTGAACTTCCCGGGGTCCTCGTCTCCCTGGGGCTGCAGGTTCTTGTTCTCTTCTGCGATGATTCCCTGGAGGAAGGCAAGAGGACAAGGGCTTGCCCTGCACAGTCCCGGACAGGTCAAAGGGTGGAGCAGAGAGGCCCAGGGAACCCAGGACTCATGGACCTTGGTCTAAGGGCTACAGGCACAGCTGGGAACAGTCAGTGGCTCTTGCTGGCTTGCAGTCAAGGCACATGGATGAGAGACGCTGCCTGTGTGACTCTCTAGACAAAGTTCCTGCAACTCCCGTAACTACTGTCATCACCAGTTGTGAGCAGAGGCTTTTTAAAAAAATTAAGACAGGGTCTCACTCTGTCACCCAAGCTGGAGTGCAGTGGCTCAACCACGGCTCACTGTAGCCTCAACCCAACAGCTGAAGCCATCCTCCTGCCTCAGCCTCCCAAGTAGTTGGGACTATAGGTGTACTCCACCACACCTGGCTAATTTTGTACTTTTTGTAGAAATGGGGTTTTGCCATGTTGCCCAGGCTGGTCTCAAACTCCTGGGCTCAAGTGATCCGCCCGCCTCAGCCTCCCAAAGTGCTGGGATTACAGGTGTGAACCACTGTGTCTGGCCTGACACTTTTAAAATGAATATTTCAGTTATTTTCATGTAAAATTGTTGAAACATTATCCATAAACATGGTAAAAAATGCATACAGTAGAAATGTGTATTCAGTGAAAAGGGAATCTTTTCTCGCTCTCTGTAGTGACTTTCCTGGTTCCTTCCAGACATGCAAACACCAATGGATTCATAAGCAAATGTATGTTTTCCTCTTTCCCCCTTTATTTGCCCAAATGGGATCACCCTGCAGCTCTGTTCTGTAAAGCGCTTCTCTTATCACATCCTGGAGGACGTCCTGCACTTGGCCCCCTGTATGCCAGGGGGCTCCTGCCTCTTGGCCCTGCACACAAACCAGCGGCAGGACCTGCAGTTTCAGGGCCCGTCCATACTCCCTCATGCTGCTGGCATTGTTACAGGGCTCAGGGTGCCCAGAGACATCCCCCTGGGCCACAGAGCCAGCCCCAAGCCTCCTGGGGTAAAACAGGTCCTCAGCAGTGCCCTCAGCTCAAAATGTACACATTGATTTTCTAGAAAGACAATTACAAGATAAACTAGTCAGTCAAGGTCAGTGCTGGTGGCTGGGCCACCCCCGATCCCTCTGTCCATGGGCAGTGAGGACAGCCATGAGCCTAGGTGAGGACTGAAAGGTGGGATCTGTTCTGATTTCTTCTATTTCTGAGTAGCCAGGGAAGGAAACTACAATATGCCATCCCAAAATATGCCCTTTTGACATAAGAAGTATTTTGAGCTGAAGGCAATTAAGTAGCAGCAAACACAGGAAAAGCTCTTTCTGCCCTCCCTCCCCCTTTCTGCCTAAAAGCTGGATATACGTTCTCCTTTATTGGAGACAATTCTAGATTCCTATCAGCCCAGAGATGACACCGCACGCATCTGCAAACAAACCTTACTCCATCGGTTTCATCCCACGTATTTATCTTCTCACAGTTTCCTGCCCTTGGAAGCATAAGCTGTTTTCGTCTGTCCTGTTATTGTTCTTTAAGTGGCCTGTCCCTGTGTTAAGAGGCTGTGTAAACCCAATTCCAACTAAACTTTTGAGTCACCTATCCAAGTTTCTCCCATGAATATATGAGATACACACATTAGTAAACTTCTGTTTTTGTCTTGTTAATCTGCCTTTTGTAACAGAGCCCCAGCCAAGAACCTAAATGGGGAGAAGGAAAAGGGTTTTTCTTCTCTTATACCAGTGCTACCGCAGCTGCGATCTAAACATCTCTCTCCAAAGTGCTGGGATTACAGGTGTGAGCCACCGCGCCTAGCCAAACTGGTGTTCTTTTAAGCCACTAAGTTGATGGTAATTTGTTGCAGAAGCAACTGGAAATTAATAAATGTTATTCTAATAAAGTGCCCATTTTGTCTAAATTCTTTTTTTTTTAGACAGGGTCTCACTCTATTGCCCAGGCTGGAATGCTGTGGCGCAATCTTGGCTCACTGCAACCTCTGCCTCCCGGGTTCAAGCAATTCTTGTGCCTCAGCCTCCCAAATAGGTGGGATTACAGGTGCGCGACACCATGCCCAGCTAATTTTTTATATTTTTAGTAGAGACAAGGTTTTGCCATGTTGGCCAGGCTGGTCTTAAACTCCTGGCCTCAAGTGATCCACCTGCCTTAGCCTCCCAAAGTGCTAGGATTACGGGTGTGAGACACCACGCCCAGCCCCATTTTGTCTAAATTCTTAAAGGTACTGGTTTAAGGCTGTTTTGTCATCCTCTCTCTTTAGAGTTTTGCTTTTTTAAAGATGCTCCTCACAGCGTATTTTGAGACGGAGTCTCGCTCTGTTGCCCAGGCTGGAGGGCAGTGGCATGATCTCGGCTCACTGCAACCTCCGCCTCCCAGGTTCATGCCATTCTCCTGCCTCAGCCTCCCGAGTAGCTGGGACTACAGGCCCCCGCCACCATGCCCGGCTAATTTTTTTGTATTTTTAGTAGAGATGGGGTTTCACTGTGTTAGCCAGGATGGTCTCGATCTCCTGACCTCGTGATCCGCCCGCCTCGGCCTCCAAAAGTGCTGGGATTACAGGCATAAGCCACTGCGCCTGGCCCATCCTTCCTTCTTTTGTAAGACTGAAGGCTTTAAATTTCCTTCTGTGTATTGCTCTCACTGCATCCCACACATCCTGACATGCAGTAGTATTTCAATCATTTTCTTTTCTTTTTTTTTTTTTTGAGATGGAGTCTCGCTCTGTTGCCCAGGCTGGAGTGCAGTGGTGTGATCTCAGCTCACTGCAACCTCTGCCTCCTAAGTCCAAGTGATTCTCCTGCCTCAGTCTTCCATTCCGAGTAGCTGGGACTACAGGCCCATGCCACCACGCCCAGCTACTTTTTAAATATTTTTAGTAGAGACAGGGTTTTGCCATGTTGGCAAAGGATGGCTGGCCTTGATCTCCTGACCTCAAGTGATCCGCCCGTCTTGGCCTCCCAGAGTGCTGGGATTACAGGTGTGAGCCACCACACCTGGCCTCAATTCTAAATATTTTCTAATTTCCATTTCTTCCTTGGCCTATGAGTCATTTGGTTTGTTCTGCTGATGCGTTTGTTGGGCCTGGCATATAGGAGGCAGTGAATAATGTCACAACTACTATTATTATCATCGCCCAATTGCTCACCAGAGTAAAGGCTTGCTTCTGCTCTCTCCACCTGTTTTCCTGGAGATAGAGGTAACCAGGTCTCACCTTGAACCCCAAAGTGCACTGAGAAGAGCTGAGAAAGCTGGTAATGTCTGTCCAGGCTTAGGAAGTTCTGGTATCAGGAATTCACATGGGCCTGCCCAAAGCAACTTTGCACCACACGACTTTGACCTGGTAAGAGCCCTCCCATGAATCTAACTTAAGGCAATAACCTAACAGAAAGAAAAAGACATATACATTCAGGCCAGGTGCGGTGGCTGATGCCTGTAATCCCATAACTTTGGGAGGCCAAGGTGGGTGGATCACTTAAGGTCAGGAGTTTGAGACTAGCCTGGCCAACATGGCAAAACCCCATCTCTACTTTTTTTTTTTTTTTTTGAGACGAAGTCTCATTCTGTCGCCTGGGCTGGAGTGCAGTGGCATCATCTTGGCTCACTGCAAACTCTGCTTCCCGGGTTTATGCCATTCTCCTGCCTCAGCCTCCCGATTAGCTGGAACTACAGGTGCCCACCACCACGCCCGGCTAATTTTTTTTGTATTTTTAGTAGAGACAGGGTTTCACTGTGTTAGCCAGGATGGTCGCGATCTCCTAACCTCGTGATCTGCCTGTCTTGGCCTCCCAAAGTGCTGGGATTACAGGCCTGAGCCACCGCACCTGGCCTTTTTTTTTTAATTGAGATGGAGTCTCACTCTGTCACCTAGGCTGGTGTGCAGTGGCACGATCTCAGCTCACTGCAACCTCGGCCTCCTGGGTTCAAGCAATTCTCCTGTCTCAGCCTCTTGAGTAGCTGGGATTACAGGCGCGTGCCACCATGCCTGGCTAATTTTTGTATTTTTAGTAGAGATGGGGTTTTGCCACGTTGGCCAGGCTGCTCTTGAACTCCTGACCTCAGATGATCCACCCACCTCGGCCTCCCATAGTGCTGGGATTATAGGTGTGGGCCACCACACCTGGCCCTTTAAACTGTATATTCTGCATATATGAATACACTGTAGGGTAAACGCCAAGAATGGAATTTTTGGGTAAAGGGCATGTGTCTTTTAAAATAACGTTAGTTTTATTATAAAAAACAACTCAAAATATCCAATTGTTTCCAGCATCTCTTCTGGCAAACAGAACCGTCTATCTGCGTACGCCTTCCAAGGCACTTGGGTAGGAATGGAAGCCCCGCACTAGGCTTCAGCAGCCTCCAGTGCCCACCCAGGGTAAGAAGGGGTTTTCCTGGGTCACGAGTTCCTCTGCCCCTTTCAACTCCAAGAGAAGGAGCGCTGACACTTCAGTCTCCACCTTTGTAAAATGGGGACGCACCCTACATCGTGAAGATGAAATAGGATAATACACGAGAACACTGCTGGCCAGGGAAGGGTGAGAACAGAGAGTGGCGGGTAAACCTTACGTGTATCTTGCCCTTGACGAAGGTGGTGATATCTTCCTCACTGTCGAAGATGGACAGTGTCTGGAGCAAGTTATTTTCCAGCCATTCCCAGTGTTTTGTGATCTCTTTGCGGGAAGAACCTAGAAGAGGTTTGGTAAAGTAAAAGAAAAATCATGAATTCCCCAGGCCTTAAACGCACATTCAAAGAAGCGAGATGAAAGTGGGTGACCTCATTTGCTAAATCTAAGTGACCAGAATCTTCAAGCTGCTTTTCCCTCTTAAGCTGATGGATATGTGCATAACAAAGTAATAAATGGTCCTGGTAAAAAAACAAAAAATTAAACGTCCAGGCTGAATCACAGTCGTGTGGGAGAGAATGTTTCCACCTGTCCCTGAAGCCAACAGGGAGAGTCACTAAGTCTCCTATGTGTCCTAGAAATAGTCTGTGTGCCTGCAAGCTTGCTAACTTACACTTTTCCTCAAGTTGAAAGAACTTAATGTGGCTTTTGCTATGTAGGTGATTAATCAGACACAGTCATACTTTGTATAAATGAGTCCAGCTCTTTCCTGAGCATCTAGGTATCCACAGATAAGCAGCCGGAGCTTCCTACAAGACTCCAGGCCCCTGGCCAGCGAGGCTCCTGCTGGGCAGGCGAGTAGCTACTGTCCCTCTCTTCAGTTTCTCCTGGCCACCTTCTTACCTTGTGTCTGCCCCACCTAGGAGGGAGGGGGTCCCTGTCCTCCATAGGCCCAACGGAAATTAAAAAAAATGTAGAGAAAATCTGGGCGCCGTGTCTCATGCCTGTAATCCCAGCACTTTGGGAGGCTGAGGCAGGAGGGTCATTTGAGCCCAGGAGTTCGAGATCAGCCCGGGCAGCATGGCGAAACCAAAAATACAAAAAATTAGCTGGGCGTGGTGGCATGCACCTGTGGTCCCAGCCACTCAGGATGCTGAGGTGGGAGGATTGCTTGAGCCTGGGAGGCGGAGGCTACAGTGCAGCCTGAGTGACAAAGTGAGACCTCGTCTCAAAAAACAAAACAACACACAAAACAAAAACGTAGAGAAGGCAGCACGATGCCACTTTCAAAGGCTGGAAGAATTGTTTGCTCCCATTAAGGAATCGGGGAAGAAGCCCCGGGGGAAGAGCAAAGGGATGAGGGGAGATCTCTGCCTGGCCTGGCTCCCCTACCCCCAGCACCTGTTTCTGGGGTTTTGCCTGTACTGAATGAACACAAGGATGAGGAGTGAATGACACCCTGAATCATTCTCAGCTGTCCGGGGGTGGGACAGGAGGCCCACCCACCAGGCATGAAGACAGCCTCAGCCAAGACATGGCAGATTCTCGTTATTCAGGTGGTCAGATTCTGTAAGGTGGCCGCGAACACTGAGTTAGCGAATCCTGAACCAGTACCCTGGGGGAACACAGGGTTAGGTTCCTGGAGCCTCTAATCACACTCTTGTCGACTGACCGATACATAACTGTTTTACATGTTTCTGTTTAAAGATGCCTTATTTAATACGTATCCCTGATCGATTGGCATTGAGCTCACGGCCAGCAGCACTATCACTCACGCCTGAAAGAAGCTGCTCGCATGCACGGATCTCCTTCACAAGGCACAACTCAGCCTTCTTGCTCTTAGGAACAAGAGCACTACGGCACTATGCTCGGGAGGCCAGTGTGACTGTGAACCAGACGTCTCTGCTGGCACGCCTGCCCCGACCACCTTCCTTCCCTCCCTGACCAGGCTCTTCTGCCAGCTGGAGACAGCTCTGACCCTCCCTCCAGGCCAGGCTGGGCCTGTCACCTGCTCCAGCCCGTGGCACCCGCTCAAGGCTGTGTCACAGCCCGGCTGTTCTGCTTGGGACTGATTTGTTTGCTTTGTCAAATCTCCTCAAGCAGACCCTGACCTAAGAAGCAAGGCCACAGGATAGATCCTCCCGATTGGCCTGGGGGAGGATGCCCACGGGAAAACGATTCCACCCAGAATCACACAGCTTGCAGTGAGTCACAAAAGGCCCCCAGAATTACTCCTGGAAGCCCCTTAAGTCATCCATAATTCACTTTAAACTTTTTTTTTCATTTTTCTTTGCATTTCTATTACAGCCTCCTTTCCCTGATGCACAGAGGCCAAGGCCTAGTTGGTAGGTAGAGATTTCTTTTTCGGTTTCTTTGCCAGGAACCCACAGTTGAATTTGGAAGTCAAATTTACATGTGGTGCAACTCTACTGTATTATTTTCTGTTACACATAACATTCCTAGAAAACTAAAACAGAAGAAATCTCCTCCTCGCTGCCTGTGTGGATGTGTCAGCACTTTAATTAAAAATATTTATAGGCCGGGCACAGTGGCTCAGTCCTATAATCCCAGCACTCTGGGAGGCTGAGGCAGGGGAATCGCTTGAGCCCAGGAGTTTGAGATCAGTCTGGGCAACATGGCTGTCTCTACAAAAAATAGAAAAAATGAGGCATGGTTGCGTGGGCCTGCAGTCCCAGCTAGTCAGGAGGCTGAGGTGGGAGGATCGCTTTAGCCAGAGAGCTGCAGTGAGCTGTGATTGCACCACGGCACTCCAGCCTGGGCAACAGAAAGAGAACGCCTCAAAAAAACATTTCTTTTTTTACATATGTGCATTAAAAATATTAGTTAAAAGTAACTCAATCTTCATTTCATACTAAGAAACTATTCCATCTCTATGCTAGGTGCTGGGAATAAAAATAATATAATAGCTAATTAGAGTATTAAATGCTGTTTCTGTTTTCAGAGTTTTCCATGGATTATCTTATTTCATTCTCAGAACACAGTGGAGACAGGTACCATTATTTTCATTTTACCAGATGAAGCTGAGGCACAGAGAGGTGAAATAAGTTACCCAAGGTCACACAGCTGGGAAGTGATCAAATCAGAATCCTAACCCTGGGTGCCTGGCTGCAGAGCCTGCCCTCACCCTCGGAAGCTCCCGGCCTCATGGGCTTCCACGTAAAAGCGTGTGCAGACACGTCATGTCCAGAGGAGTAAGGAGGAAGGATGGGTCTGTGGAGTCTGGGCAGTTCTCAGAGGAGCGGGAGGGAAGGTTAGCTGGCATGGCGGACACTAGGCACAGCAGCCAGGAGGGGTGTGGCTCCTCCAGGCCCTGCAGCTGTGTGGTCCGGCTGAAGGCCAGGCTGTGAGCTGGGGAGACAAGGCCAGAAATGGAGGCAGGCAGACCCCCAGGTGTCCTCGAACACCAGGCTCAAGGGTCAGGACTCACTAAGCAGGTGCTGGCAGGGCCATGTCTGGTCTTGGTGAGTTGCTTCTGGGGCCTAGCCTGGCTGGCAGGAAAGGGAGGCACAGCCAGGGCCAGTGCAGGGCTTTGGGCCTGGCAGGAGGGGAGAGGTCAAGTGTGTGGCACGGGGCTACGTACATGGGCTCCGCTGCGTGGCTGTGGCTGGGCCCCTCCCCAGCACCAGGCCTGCTGTGACTAAAGGGATTCCCACTCTGCCCCTCGTACTTTTCTCTCCCCAGGGACGGGCAGCTCTTGCTGCCAGAGATGGAAATCTCAAGGGCCCATGTTAAAGCAGCTCCTCTCCTCATTAGCACACACCAACCTCCTGGCCCACTCAGAAATGGTCCCCTCCCCACAGGAAGCCCCTCCTCTGGCAAACTCTTGCTGCCCCCAGGGTCCACTCAGGCTCTGAAGCCAGAGATCGGGGGTCTAACTGGGCTTCCCTGCTTGGCCTTGGACAAACTCCCCTTCCTAACTCTTACTGAGTTATTCAGTCCTGCAAAGGAGAAGGGCACTGCTGGTCAGGATGCCCGTGCAGAGCGCCCACCTGGGAGTGGGGCTATTCCCGGGGTGCCGCCCGCCCTGTGCTTTTACTTCCTTGACCCTTCCCCTCCTGAAGCTGGGTTCCAGCCGTGAGGTTGACAAACTTTTGAGTCTCATCATCTTCTCCCAGGCCTTCAAGGGAAACCACTACCCTGGAGAACAAGGGCACTGTGGCTTCTGCTTCAGAGAGGTACTGAGAGGGTCCAAACTGCAGCTGTGTGACTCTGAGCAGGTTACTCAACCCCTCTGGGCCAGAGTTTCTTCACCTTCAACATAGAGAAGACCAAAGTACTTATGCCTTCTGGAGGTACCGGGTGGTTCAGGCAAGTGCCTGGCACACAGGAAGCACTGTCTGAGCGTCAGCTAGGACTGTCATTTTCTCAGAGCAAACTCAACCCAGCAGGTACCCGCTGAAAGGGGACTTCCCTCCGCACTCTTGGACGGGTGAGTGCGCTTCCACCTAGGAGGACAACTACAGCGGATTCTCGTTATTCAGGTGGTCAGATTCTGTAAGGTGGCCGCGAACACTGAGTTAGCGAATCCTGAACCAGTACCCCGGGGGAACACAGGGTTAGGTTCCTGGAGCCTCTAATCACACTTCTGTCGACTGACCGATACATAACTGTTTTACATGTGTTTCTGTTTAAAGATGCCTTATTTAATACGTATTCCTGATCGATTGGCATTGAGCTCACGGCCAGCAGCACTATCACTCACGCCTGAATGAAGCTGCTCTCATGCACAGATCTCCTTCACAAGGCACAACTCAGCCTTCTTGCTCTTAGGAACAAGAGCGCTATGCTTGGGAGCCATTTTAAACAGCCAAGTCATCAGCAACGAGCACAAACATGGGAAAAACATGGCACTGCAGAGACTGTGAACAGGACACGTGAGTGCAGTATGAGAGCTGAATCAAGAAGGCAGAGCGTCGTCCTGTTCTGCCTCAGCTGGGGACATGGGCATCAGGCGAGTCAAATTTTTCACTGCTTTGAACGTGCATGTGTCCATGAGTGTCTCCAAATGACCACAAAATCGCTGGAAGTATTGATTTGGGGATTGCAAATACATTTTATTGAGTAGGCCAATTTGCAAATATGGAATCTTTGAATGAGGCCGACTACGTCTACCTTGAGAAAAGGTGGCATGAGAATGTGGACATTGGCTAGCCCCACACCTGCGTCCCTAGAGGTACATGGGGATCCATGGGGCTGTCCTCTCCTGCCCTGTCCCCATGACCAGTGGAGCTGCCTTTTTTTTTTTTTTTTTTTTTTGAGACGGAATCTCGCTGTGTCGCCCAGGCTGGAGTGCAGTGGCGCGATCTCGGCTCACTGCAAGCTCCGCCTCCCGGGTTCACGCCATTCTCCTGCCTCAGCCTCCCGAGTAGCTGGGACTACAGGCCTCCGCCACCACCCCCAGCTAATTTTTTGTGTTTTTTAGTAGAGACGTGGTTTCACCGTGTTAGCCAGGATGGTCTCGATCTCCTGACCTCGTGATCAGCCCGCCTCGGCCTCCCAAAGTGCTGGGATTACAGACGTGAGCCACCGCACCGGGCCACGGAGCTGCCTTTCTAAGATGGAAGCGAAGGCTCCTCCACTTCCCTCTTGCAGCCTTGGGCTATGCTGTCAGCAGGGAATACCACCCAGACACGTGGGCTACACACCCCTTCCTCTCGGCAACGGCCCTTCCAGGGCAGGCCCTGCCCAGCACCCCTCACCACTCAGGGCACCTACCACACGCCACTGTCCAGTAGACCTGGGAGTCCTGGGTCTGGTGCAGGATGCGGTAAGGGGCCACGCGGGCACTGGAGTCCAGCACCACGTCCAGGGTGCCCACGAGAAGACCTGGGAACAGGGCAGAGAGACATAGAGGGTGAGGGGAGGGCCGGACTGAGGCCCCTGAAGGCTGAGTCTGGCCGGAGGCAGACAGGATGGTGACGCTACCCAAAGGGTCCAGCCCAACGAGGGAAACGTCCGGAATGACCCCTGCGGTCAAAGGCCTTCAGCCAGTGTCTGATCCCGATCAAAAACATCCCCTTCTACTTCTTCCTGGAAGCATCTGCTTCTTCTCCTGGCTCAGAAACACTTGCAGGCAGAGGCAGATACAAGTTTCATGGGGCCAGAGCTTAAACAATTCTGGGAAGCCCTCTTTACGTATACAAAACTAGACTACAAAACAAGTATTGCTTTAGACCGAGAAAGTACAGAGCTACACGTTAAAGTTAAAAAAGAACAATATCAGAAATATCACAAAATCCAGAAAACCAACACAATGTTTTCCTAACTGCCATGTGCGTCTCCTGAAATACGTCTTCCGGACAGTTCTGGTCCTGTACTCATCGCTTCTTCACACACAGGACAATGATTCTGCAACATTATTTTCCATATCAAGAACAGAAAGATAATGTCTCCCCTTTGCCATGACTCACTGATTTTTTATTACCGACAGTTTAAGGAAGTTTCTTTTAGCCTCAAAAAATCATAACTGAAGAAGTCGATCTTTAGAATTGTCAAATTTGGGAAAATATAAAGTTTTTTCATTTCTGAACTGAAACATTTGAGGGCATTTCAAGTTTTTCTTCTCATCACATATACCCCTTTGATAGATGACACACATTAAGCAGTCTGTGGCAACGCTATCTTTGCTTTTATATTTTAGGTAATGCTATCTTTGTCAGTGTCACTATTTCCTGACAAATCAGCAGGAAATATATAGCTTTTATCATTGTTTGATTCACTAATTGAATTATCGAGCAATCTAAAAACCTGTTTATTGTTTTTACTTGAAATTTTTTCTTCCTTTTAACGAAGTGCTGCTTTTGGCATGATCTGAAAATATTTTGTTACCATTTTTCCTGTTGATGTCAGAACAATTTTTATTGCTGTTATTCAACTTTAACACTTTTGTTTCATAGTCCATTAATACTTTTTTGAGATAGTCTCGCTCTGTCGCCCAAGGTGGAGTGCAATGGCGCCATCTCGGCTCACTGCAACCTTGACCTCCTGGGTTCAAGCGATTCTCGTGCCTCAGCCTCCCGAGTAGCTGGGATAACAGGCGCGTGCCACCATGCCTGGATAAATTTTATATTTTTAGTAGAGACGGGGTTTTGCCATGTTGGCCAAGCTAGCTATTCAGATTCTTTAATGAAAAGTCTAGGTTGGCATGTTTTTAATAGATGGCTTGGATAAAACCACATCCCTGTCTGCTCCTCTTCAGGGAGGACAGTACTCAGGAGGCCACGATGCCCATGATGGCACAGGGAAGGCCCTGTCAGAGGGCACAGCAGGACACACCAAACCTAGCAGTGGGGAGAGATTGGGAGAGGGTTCAAAGAAGGGTTCCCTTGGGGGGACCCTGGGAGCTCGGTCCCAGGGGACACGGAGAGTGAGGTGGAAAGGAGAAGAGCCCGCAGGAAGGAGGTGTACAGAGACCGGGCTGCACCTGCACCCGCCCGTTCAATGAGACGACCCACATAAGCCTGCCGAGCACAGCACAAGTGTTTCAAGTACACCAGCGAATATGACACACTGGCGCGCTGATGACACCCTGGCGCGCTGGCGGAAGAAAAGGTGCCGGTCCCTCGCTTTCTTCATCGGGCTTGCAGTAGCTTCGAGGTTAGCCACAGGGGCTGCCGACTGAACAGCTGGATCTAGGAGGCGGGTCCAGAACAGGAGCCCGAGATCCTTGAAGCCCACTGGGAGGGAACCCGAAGCTGAAGGGAACACTGAGTGTTTCTGGGAACAGAACAGTCTCTTCCACATGAAGAAACGTGGCCCAGGAGAAGCCTCCGTCTGCATCTGGCTATTAGCTGCTCACACTGAAAATCAGGATGATTCACAGAAAATGCTCTTGATAAACTGGACGACCTGGCAACACTGGGACCGCAATCCTGTAGGGCAACAGTCGGTGCCCCGAAGAGCACAGGCACTGAGCCCGAGCCAGCCGGGCTCCTGCAGTGCTGGGCGCAGGCCCTGGAGCATGAGGGGCCCCGGACACCACCTGCGGAGGGAGTGGCCTGTGGGCCTCCCCTGGATCCCACAGGCCGCACGACTCCAAGGGTGCCTGTCCAGCTTCATCCTGTGTGATGGTGGCACCCGGGCCCACAAAGGGCCACCTTGGCGAGCTTGCAGGAACACCCTGTGCCGCTACCCACAGCCTTGGGTGCGCAGCTCTGAGAGCAGCCAGGAGCAGGAAAGGTGGGGGAGGAGAAGCTGGGGGAATGGGGGTGCGGCCAGCTCCAGGGACCTCTGATCTTGCTAAAAGGGCGATACTTTGGTGAGATGGGCACGAAGAAGAGGGCAAAAGAAAACGTGCGCTGGCGTCACCTGGCCCCTTAGAGGCACCTGGGGAAACTGAGGTGGAGGATGAGGACAGGGCGGTCTCGCCAACTTTCGGCGGTGAGATCCCGGGAAGCTGCACGGCCCCCGGGGCTCGCGGGCGCCGAATCCGGGCAGAAGCCGCCGCCGGTCTCCACTTGGCCGCCCCAAGCCGACCTGAGGAGAGCCCGCCGAGGGCGCATTCGCCTCCCGCCAGCCCCTCGCCTCCCCGCCCCGGCCCCTCCGCGCCCGGCTCCCGGGTCCTGGCCTCGCGCCCCCGCCCCGCCGCGCGCTGGCGTGCGTGTCCGCCGCGACGCGCCGAGGCCGGGCCGGAACCGGACCCGCCCGCCGCCCGCCGCCAGCCCCGCCGCCAGCCCAGCCGCGGCGCCCACAGGCCCGGCCGCCCGCGCGCCTCTCACCCGTAAGGCCGCCGCCCCTGCCGTGGCCCCGGCGTCGCTGCAGCACGAAGAAGGGGTTGGCCCGCTCCGTCACCCACAGCGCATTGGCCACCAGCACCTCCTCCGGGCTCAGCCACATCGCGGAGCCGCTCGCACCGGGCCGAGGCCCGCGAGACGGAAGCGCCCGCCGCCGTCGGCGTCCCGGAGCGGAGCGTGCGGAGCGGAGCGTGCGGAGCGGGCCGGGGCGGGGCGGGGCCGGGCGGGCGGCGCCCCCTGGCGGGCGTGTGGCGCTCCCGCACGCGGCCCGAGTTCCGCGCCGCCCCCTCAGCCCCGGCCTCGGGCGCGCGCCAGCCTGGCCTCCTGGAGCGGTGCAGCCCACGGCCTCCGGCCTGGGTCCAGAACGGAACGGCCCAGTCCGCAGACAGGGGAGCCGCTGTGCAGAGCAGGGCTTCTGGCGTTTTGAAAGCTGTGCAGTGTGAGAGAAGGATGTCAAGAAGCAGAGTTTGGCGGCTTTTGGCTGGTTGCGCGTGCAACCCGGGGCGTGTTAGCACTGCAAAGGGCGCCTGGAAAGGGTTTGCAGTTCCTCCTAATTCTCAGCTTTCTTTTCTTTTTTTTTTTTCGACAGAGTCTTGCTGTGTCGCCCAGGCTGGAGTGCAGTGGCGCAATCTCAGCTCACTGCAACCTCTGCCTCCCGGGTTCAAGTGATTCTCCTGCCCCAGCCTCTTTAGCTGGGATTACAGGCTCCCGCCAACACGCCCGGCTAATTTTTTTGTATTTTTAGTAGAGACGGGGTTTCACCATGTTGGCCAGGCTGGTCTCGAACTCCTGACCTCGGGTGATCCGCCTACATTGGCCTCCCAAGTCCTGGGATTACAGGAGTGAACCATCGCGCCCGGCCAGTTCTCAGAATTCTGACACTGGGGCCGGGAGACTAGAAGAATCTTCCAGCGCAGGGCAGGTGCCAGGAGGCCCTGATACGGGCTGCATCCTTGGAAATCAGTGCTGCCCCTCCCCTGACAGACGGGTCACAGAGGCTGGCCGGCCCTGGGGATGGGGTCTGGACTGGCCCTGGGCCCAGTGGCGGCTTCTGCGCAAGTGTGAGGCTGGCTGCAGGCGAATGCGGGTCCCTGGTCTCCCAGTGTTGGCCTGCAGGGGCAGCGCCAGTCCACACACAGCCTTCTGCATGAGGGGGCTGTCAACTCCACCTGGGACAACGGGCCTGGGGCCTGTCCGGGGTCGACTGGGATGTGGGGTCACCCTGCTGGCTGGAACCCTCACCAGGGTCTGGCTAGAGGGCAAAGGGAAGGGGGCAGTTAAACCATCCTTGGAGCTGGACCTGACTTCCAGGTGGGTTTCTGTGATTGGCACTCAAGAATCTTGGTGCGATGGATGTAGGTACATGCAGTTGACACCCAGAGTGATCTGCAGTCTTCTTCAATGTTGCTGGATATAGGAATCAGCTTTCAAGATGCAGAGGCGGGCTTTCTTCAACACCTTGGAAGTCTGAACTAATATTGTCATTGTGCTCTCTAGAGGGAAAGAATTTGGAAGAACTGCACTTTTTAACACCCTGAGAGGAGGTAAAGAGTCGTCTTGTTCCTTAATCCCAGTGGTTCTCAAATTGGGTATACATTAGGATCACCTGGAAGGCTGATTCAAACAGGCTGCTGTAGTCCCAGCCACTTGGGAGGCTGAGGTGGTAGGATCACTTGAGGCCAGGAGTTCAAAATCGGCCAGGGCAATATAGCAAGACTCCATCTGAAAACAAAACAAAACAAAAAACAGCCACACAGGTTGCTGCCCCCTCCCTCCCAGGGTGTTTGCACTGCTAACTCGTTCCTAGGTGATGTTGATGCTGCTGACCTGGAGACCACTCCTCGAGAATGGTTTTTTATAAGAAGAAAAAGAACAAACATTTATCGATCACTTAGTATGTGCGTGCTAAGCTTACTTCTTTTTGATTTTCTGAGATATAAGTCACATTCCGTAACGTTCACTCTTTTAAAGTGCAAAACGTAGTGGTTTTTAGTATATTCACTAGGCTGGGCATCCATCATCACTAATTCCAGAACATTTTTATCAAGTCAAAAGAAACCCCTTACCCATTAGCTGCCATTCCCCACTTCCCCCCGGCTTTGCCCTGGCAACCATCAATCTATTTTGTCTCTATACATTTTTCCCATTCTAGCCATTTCTTCATATAAATGGAACCTTACAATATGTGGTCTTTTGTGTCTGTCTTCTTTCACTTCCCATCATGTGTTCGAGGTTCACCCACGTTGTAGCACGTATTGATGCTTCATTCCTCCTTATGGCTGAATAGTACCCCACGGTATGGATGCACCGCATTTTATTCATTTGGATGGACATTTGGATTGTTTACCCCTCGTCTATTATAAATAATGCTGCCATGAACATGTGTACAAGTCTTTGTGTGAATATGTGTTTTTAATTCTCTTGGGCATATATTGAGGAGTGGTATTGTTGGGTCATGTGGTACAGCTATGTTTAACTTTTTAAGCAGTGACCACACTGCGCTCCAAAGCAGCTGTAGCATTCCACATGCCCACCAGCTGGGTGTAAGAGTTCTAGGCAGGGCGCGGCGGCTCACGCCTGTAACCCCAGCACTTTGGGAGGCCGAGGTGGGCAGATCACAAGGTTAGGAGATCAAGACCATCCTGGCTAACACGGTGAAACCCCGTCTCTACTAAAAATACAAAAATTAGCCGGACGTGGTGGCATATGCTTGTCCCAGCTACTCGGGAGGCTGAGGCAGGAGAATTGCTTGAACCCGGGAGGTGGAGGTTGCAGTGAGCCGAGATCACGCCACTGCAACTTCAGCCTGGGCAGCAGAGTGAGACTCCGTCTCAAAAAAAAAAAAAAAAAAAAGAGTTCTAGTTTTTCCATATCTTGTCAACACTTGTTATTGTCTTTCTTTTTTTTTGATGCTCATTTCTAGAGGGTGGGAAATGGTATCTCGCTGTGGTTTGGATTTCCATTTCCCTGATGACTGATGATGGGCTTTTGGGTTATTTGTATATTTTATCTGGAGAAATGTCTATTTGGAGAAATGTCCTTTGCCCATTTAAAAAATTTTTTTATTTTTTTATTTTTGAGACGGAGTCTCACTCTGTCGCCCAGGCTGGAGTGCAGTGGCATGATCCTGGCTCACTGCAGCCTCTGCCTCCCAAGTTCAAGCGATTCTCCTGCCTCAGCCTCCCAAGTAGCTGGGAGTACAGGTGCGTGCCACCATGCCTGGCTAATTTTAGTATTTTTAGTAGAGAGGAGGTTTCACCATGTTAGCCAGGATGGTCTCGAAATCCTGACCTCAAGTGATCTGCCCGCCTCGGCCTCCCAAAGTGCTGGGATTACAGGCGTGAGCCACTGCACCCGGCCTCTGGCTCCAGTGCTTTTCCACACGTGTCAGACACGTGCTGCCTTTGCCCCCAGCATTCACTTCTCCCGTCTGTGCAGTGTCGTTTGTTTTTCTGCAGTGGGAACCGTGCCTTAGAACGCTCAGCTCTTGTCTGTCAGGTGAAGACACATGGACTCCTGGGCTGTGAAGGTGGAGCCCATGCCAGCTGAGGCCATCGGTGCATTCTATCTGTGATCACAGGGGCTGGCTGGTGATGGCCATGTGCCTCCAACCAAGTCAGTTGGGCCAGGGAAATACCGTCCTGACCTGGGCCACCTCCTGGGGACTGGCTCTTGTGTTGATGGAGCTACTGCCACCCTGAGCCTGGGGATGGGGTTCCCAATGAGGAGCAAAGTTGGCATGTGTCTTGGTGTCAGCATTTGAGGGTGAAATCACACCAAGCCTGACATAGGCACCCCTGGGCATTTTGGCTTTTGGGAGCCATGACATTCCCCTTTTGTGTTAGCCAGTTTTGGCTGGGTTTTCTGTCATTTGTAACCAAGAGAGTCCTCAGTGATACACGTCACCACCAACAATACTCCATGTGGTCAAATCAGCTTTTTCAATAGGTTTTTATTGAAATGGTTATATTAGCAAATTCTGCACATACGGGTGTACACTGTTGGCATATAGGTATATACCATACAATTTCACTACTTGATTATACTTACACCAACCATGCAGACCAAGGAGCTGTGCTGCCCAGAACATTTCAAAGGGTTGATGAGATCTGATTGTCAAGAACCAGCTCACACTCTACTTGTAGGTGTTTGTGTTCCAGACAAGAAAACTCCCCCGACAGGGAGGCCCGAAACTGAGCTAATCGTCAGTTTTGCTTCTTGAATATTGACTGTTCTTTCTGGCACAAGCTATCCAATGAATTAAATTAAAATTTTAATTAAAATTCAAGTGCATAGTTTCCTTTTCATCCCTCAAGGTGGAAGATAAATCATTTGCCACATTTAGGTATATCCCAAGCCTCCCCACCCCCACATTACCTGTGCTATAGTTAGAAAAATAGTTTTGTACGCCATCTTCTGAGATGTTGTGCATAGTGAGCAGGAACCTAGAGTACGGTGGGCTCTTTCAATGACCCAAATATGAAAGGGGCAACTTTAATATTTTATGAGTATAAAAGCTACGGAGGGTCCAAAACAACTGTGACATATGTGGCCTAGGGCTTGCACCAGCTCCTCCTCCTGTACAGGAACAGGATGCTTCCATCAGGTGAGAATGTTCTCCATACCTCAAATCTCATTTCCTAGCTTGGAGCCTTTTCCTGTTTTTGTAATCACACGGGACAAGTTTTCTTTTTAGACAGAGTTATTGCCTCTCTGCAGCAGATCTGGTCCCAAGCCCCAGTCAGGAGATCCCCTCCTGCAGCTGGCTCAGCAAGCCAGGCCCAGGCTGTCTGGAGAACGCCTGGAGACAGCACCCTCTCTGCTTCTCTCCAGGATGGCATGTGTCATCTCAGGCTGGGCACTCAGCAGAGGTGCCAGGACCTGGACCTGGGCCACACCTACTGGCCCAGTCCACAGAGCACAGCCAGCAATCCGCAGCCTTTCTGCTGAAGGAGCGCTTACTCGCCTGAAGGAAGAGAAATGGCCAGGACGGTATATTCTACCTAACCACCTCACCCCACCGTTTCTTTACAAACATCTTGGTTCAGTACCTCCCAGTCATTGGAGAAGTCCTTTAATATCACATAGTGTAAATATACTTGCACTTAATTGGAGATAAAGGCTGTTCCAAAAGCAAATTTGAATTCACTCTGTGTTGGGTTGAATTTGTAAACCACAGCTCAGAACCAGTCTGTGACGCTCCGCAGATGTCGGTGGCTATAGAGAGAGGTGGCTAGGGAAGGCGATGATCCGCGGATGGGTGGGGAACTGAGGAGGCCAAGTCAGCTTTGCCAGGCCACCATGTGCCGCCAGGAGCTGGGCAGCCTGAGGAGAGCAAAGATGGGCCGGGAGCCTCCACCTCAACTGACAGGAGACTGCTCACCACATGCCCTCCGAGTTCCCACAGGAGAATGCACGTGCGCTGGGCAAGGTGCCACCCTCGGCTCGGGACGGCAGCCTTGGCGTCTGGCTACGGGCGCCGCTTTCACAGGGGTGGCTGGGCCGCCTAGAGCTTTTGTGGTACAGAGAGGAGGGGCCAACAGGAGGAACTCCACAGCCCAGGCGGAGGTCTGAGCAGGCCAGCAGCACCGAATCCTTCTGAAAGCTTGAAACTCAAGTTGCAGGACGTTCAAAGGTGCTTTTTTTTTTTTCTTTTCCATAAAGGATCTTCCTTCTTCCCCAAGTTAGAGTGAAGAAAACAGGAAAAAAATACCTTCAGCTTAGGGTGGAAAAGGAAGGAAAACCCAAGATGAGTGCAGGTGACGACCGGGCGGCCCCCACAGGGTCTCTGCAGGACCACAGGAGCCAAGACTCAGGCATAAGAGCATCACCCTTTCAGCAGCCAAGGCGGGTGGCACCTTCCCCTCCATGGTCACTGGAGGCTGTGGGGCCATAGCTGCAGAGAACGCAGGCGGCGGGAGACCCTCTCAGCCTCTCTTCTTCCAAGCTCAGTTTCTTGAGATCTTCCAGGATACCCACAAAAAAGAGGGTGAACCTTTAACAATGCCCCAGAGGAGCTTCGTGGCTACAGGGGGCCTCCTGACCCCCAACCCAGCCCTCTCAGCCAGGCCTCAGGAGGCTAGTGTGACCTCAAAACTCAGAGCCCCCGTGAGACACAGGGCCAGCCAGTCCCATGCCTTGCAAAGGGGAACGTTCCTCCCAGGTGTGGATTTGGGGGCTCACGCTTTGCTTTCCCTGTAGTTGCCTCGGACAGTAAGGAAAGGAATTCCAAGGAGCAGACATAGGCACCTTGTCCCCACCTGCCTTCTTCCGGTGTTTTTTTCTGATGCTACAATACTTCAAACACACAGGGCTTCTCCCAGTCCTTCTGCAAGGCTCTTAACCATAGCCCAGGGAGCTGTGTGAATATTACAATCAACAGCCTTTCCTAATGGGCTGAAAGGAGGGTGTGTCGAAGCTTTGGAATGCTTTACCAACAAGGCCAAAATACAAGACAAAACTCCACGCCCCTCATATGTAACAACTGCCCTAACCAGACCTGGGAGGGGAAGGTGCCTATTTTAAGCTGTGGGTATCGCCCTGCGATGAGTCCTTACTCATCTTCCCACACTCCCTGACAGTGTGAGCCAATGTTGACTTTAGTCACATTAAACTCTGCTTCCGGGTGACACTGAACACACGAGAGGAAGTGAGAGCTAGTTGGACAGCCTTTCTTGAAGAAGGAAATCATACTCAATTGCTTTTCTAAATCCATTGCCTTCAGTAGCTCCTTCTGTCCACACTTTAAATGTCAGTGTCCCCAGGGCTTTATCCCAAGCCCCATCCTCATGTCACTGGGTGGTCCCAGCCCCACTCTGGCTTCCACCTCCATCTGAACTCAGGGACACCTCTCCTGGCCAGCTCCCCTTGGGAGATTCTGCCTCCAGCGCATGGGAGGGTATGCATGCCTGTGGGGGTGTTTTGGGGGAGGGAGGAGGAAGGAGGAGATTTGGGTGACATAGATATTGTGATTACATGGAGATACTTCAGCAGGACAAGATGGTATGTCCACTTAAAAACACAGCTTCTGACCGGGCGTGGTGGCTCATACCTGTAATCCCAGCACTTTGAGACACTAAGGCGGGAGGGTCACTGGAGCCCAGGAGTTTGAGGCTAGCCTGGGCAACATGGAGAAGCTCTGTCTCTAAAAAAAATTTTTAAAAATTACCTGGGTGTAGTGGCATGCGTGTGTAGTCCCAGTTACTCGGGAGGCAGAGGTGGGAGGATTGCTTTAGCGCTGGAAGTTGAGGCTGCAGTGAGCCAAGATTACACCACTGCACTCCAGTCTGGGCAACAGAGTGAGACCCTGTCTCTAAATAAAATTAAAAAACAGGCTGGTGCGGCTCACACCTGTAATTCCAGCACTTGGGAGGACGAGGCAGGTGGATCATTTGAGGTCAGGAGTTTGAGACCAGCCTGGCCAACGTGGTGAAACCTCGTTTCTACTAAAAATACAAAAAATTAGCTGGGCGTGGTGGCATGCATCTGTAAATCCAGCTACTCGGGAGGCTGAGGCAGGAGAATCACTTGATCCTGGGAGGCGGAGCTTGCAGTGAGCCGAGACGGCGCTACTGCACTCCAGTCTGGGCGACAGAGTGACACCCTGTCTCGAAATAAAACAAACAAACAAACAAAAAACCCACAGCTTCGCAGGCATTCTGATGCAGGGGTCTGCAGCCTGGCCACCTTACCCCCACTGCACCTCCACCTGGGCACCAGGTTCGCACCTCCATGCCTCTCCTTCCAGAGCCCCTGCCAGCCCAGACCCAAAGTATCCCCACAGGACTCTCCCTGGGTCCCATCAACACCCGCCCAGGAACCAGGCCTGGAAGCCCAGGCTTCTGCTTCTATCTCCCTCTTCTTCCACTTGGCGTCAGAGCCTGGTGTGGGGTCTGTGAATGCTTCCCCTTTGCCTTGGCCCCTCAGGCGGGACTGGCATCCCAGGCTGGTGCCGTGCCTAGCCTCCCTGACCCCCAGTGCGGTTCCTTTTCTTTCCAAACAGAGACAGGAGTCTGGTCTCCCTGGCAAGCCTTCCCTGCCCAGGAAGTGCTGCCCTCGCCTCCTGGCCACTGTCCCCGCCTTGTCTTGACTGTTCCCTTGGGCCTCTCTATGGCTGCAATGCCTCTCCTCCACCTGTGCCCTGGAAGTCCCTCCTCATCCAGATTCACCCTCTTATCATTCGCTCTCACACCCCAGTTGCTTGATAACGTGCCCATGAACAGCCAACATCTTAATGGTCACAGATTCACCCCAACTTCAAGCATGTGTTTGGCACAGAGTGAGAGCTTAATAAAAGTTTGCTGGCGATATTAACTGTAGAATCCCACTTCTCTAAAATCAGTGTTTTTGTTTCATGACATTTATGAGCAGCAACCACTTGTCAAGGAGCCACACTGTCACTTGCCAGTGGTTAATGTCAACCACCGACATTAACGTCACCTCGTTTTCCTATAGCAGAGCCAATGCCTCAATAATAAAGGTTAACGGCGAGAGAACACTTTGAGTTTTCTTCAGTTAAAACTAGCTTCAGCCGGGCGTGCGTGGCATGAGCCTGTGGTCCCAGCTACTGGGGAGGCTGAGGCGAGGTCAAGGCTGCAGCGAGCCATGACTGTGCCACTGCACTCCTGCCTGGGTGACAGAGCGAGATCCTGCCTCTAAAAAAATAAAAATATAAAATACCAATTTGATTTAGCGTGTAGCTCGAACGGATTGGATGTGAGGGTAATAAAAACATGAGAAGAGCTTATAAAGCCAATAGAAAATGTCAAGCTTGTAAAATTCAGTAATCTCGTTTTTAAAAATACTTTTCCAAATATCATCAGACTCACTGGCAGCTGGGGCTGTTGCCGCATCAGGGAAGCCGGCAGGTGCCAGACCTCAGTGCTCAAGGCAGTGCCTCGTGAATGTGCCTCGCAGCCAGGCCTGAGGACCACCAGGGGAGCTGGGGCCTCTCTGCAAAAGCAAGGCTCATCAGGGTTGTGAGGAGTTTTTAGCTGGGGGCAGAGCTTGTCTTCCCAAGAGGAGGGCAGAGGCAGGCAGCCCTGGGCAGACATGCTTACCACCATCAGTGGCTGCCAAGCTCTGCCTCCTGCGCTGGAAGCCCTGGCTATCTGGCCTTCCCTCCCCTCCCTCTGGATTAACAGGAAAGAGGGGTTACTCCTCCCTTAGGATGTTAAAAGTCACCAAAGCTTGGCCAGGCGTGGTGGCTCATGCCTGTAATCCCAGCACTTTGGGAGGCCAAGGCAGGCGGATCACGAGGTCAGGAGATCGAGACCAGCCTGGCTAACACAGTAAAACCCCATCTCTACTAAAAATACAAAAAATTAGCTGGGCGTCGTGGCAGGTGCCTGTAGTCCCAGCTGCTCGGGAGGCTGAGGCAGGAGGATGGTGTGAACCCGGGAGGCGGAAGTTGCAGTGAGCCAAGATCGCGCCACTGCACTCCAGCCTGGGTGACAGAGCAAGACTCCGTCTCAAAAAAAAAAAAAATCACCAAAGCGGAAGCATTTGCATTTCAATAGTCACAACCAACTCCCAGAGGATGCTGATGGCTGCCCTGGCCCTAGACTTGCTGATCCTGCCACACAGGCCCATGGTCTCCTCACCCGGGCACAGGCCCAGCTCACAGCAGTCCACTGGAGGCAGGGGGGTGGATGTGTGGTGTAAATAGCTGACTCCTCAGCCTCTTCCTTACTTCAAACAGTTCCCCCCTCAACAATGACTGAGGTTATCATACATTTCCTAATAACCGCTGCTGGTGGCAAGACTTGCAACCACGGAGGCACTCACTCTCTGCACCCCATCACACCTGCAGCAGGCGGAACACTGCTCCCCAAGCGCCTCAGGGAAGCGCTGCCCATGTGGCGACGTGTGTCTTCACAATGCTCACCGGACAAGCAGCCCCGGCCACTTCCTGCCAGGGTCCCGACTTAGCAGGGATTTCCCCCAGCATAGCAGCTAGTAAAGAGGCTGTTATTTGGGATTAAAAAAAAAATGCCATTCTTGGCTGGGCATGGTGGCTCACAACTGGAATCCCGGAACTTTGGGAGGCCGAGGTGGGGGTGGATTGCTTGAGCCCAGGAATTCAAGACCAGCCTGGGCAACATGGCAAAGTCCCATATCTCTACAGAAAATCCAAAAATTAGCTGGGTGTGGTGGCACGTGCCTGTGGTGCCAGCTACTCGGTGGGCTGAGGTGGGAGGATCACTTGAGCCCAGGAGGTGGAGGCTGCAGTGAGCCAAGGTTGCGCCACTGCCCTTCAGCCTGGGTGACAGAGTGAGACTGTCTCAAAACAAAAATAAAAATAAAAACCTGAAACCAAAAACCAAATCATCCTCTCTGTTCCTGAAGAGCATGGCCTTAATGAGAAGTTAGTGTCCCTCCTGACAAAGACAGGCCATTCTGTAGCTGAGCCAGAGAGTGACCCCAATTTTCCAGAAAAGGGTGTCAAGCCAGGATCCACAGCACTGTTCTGAGTACGCTCCCCTGCAAGCAATGCCTCCTTGTTATTCTACCGTGAATGTGTGCCCCAGATTTCCCAGAAATTCAAATGTTATATTAATAGACAGATTCTAGGGGCCTGAAATTTGTACTTCTTCTCACGTAATTTCATACCTTTTCAGTAAAGAAACTGTCTTGAGTGGAATTTAACGTATACACATTGGTAAGACCTCAAATCAGGAGAAAATGCTACATCAGGATCTGCGTTTTGGTTTGGGAAAACAAGGAGGTGGTATAGACAACACGGCAATGATCCGAACTGAGCTCTCCTACCTTTCAGGTGGGTCAAACACATACAAATGCAGACGCGTGTCTGGAACCTCCAGCAAATGGGCTCCAGCTTCCTGCAGACTCACCCTCTCTCTGAGAGCCCAATGGGGAAACCTGCTTTTCTGAACGATGCTATATTGAAGCTGCTCATTGAAAATATTTTTATAGTACGAAGACTATCATAAAGAAAAACAAAACAAAAAAACCCCCAAAGCCCTTGGTAAAAGGTAAAACACAAAAGCTGCTAAGACCTTTAAAATCTGCACCATTCTAGCCTCAAATGAGCGAAAACGAAATGCCGCTGCCCGCTCTCTGACAATGCTCCTGAAGCCTGTCCCCATCCGGGGCTCTGCAGGTTTCCTTCAGGCACACCTGTGTCTGAGGCGTTATTGACGCGTTAGGAGAAAAGACACTTTAGGAGAAGCTGCACGTGGAAAAATGGCAAGTGTTCACTTCAAACGTATATTCCACAGTCAGTGAGAACAGGGCAGGGGATTCACGCATCTGCTTCGTTTGCTGTCGGATCTGACCCTGGGCATGTGGAGACTGGGGTTCCTGTTCTCACAGCAAGGGTCTGTGCGCCTCACGCCCCCACAAAGCTCATGCCAATGAGAGGCAGACTCAACTCAGGTGTGTCCTTTTGCAAAGAGGGTGTGCAGATTAGTTTTATAAATTTGCCCATAGTGGTTCTGTACTGGGATTAGCAGTAAGATGCAATTTTCTCATCATGTTAATTCGATGTCATCCCAGGTGTGTGGGAAGATCCCACATGTCCCTGATGCCTGGGATGCTGGCCACTGCACCCTGTCCTGTAAGCCTGTCGGCCGGTGCTCATGTGCCTTCTTCATGCTGTGCTGGGGCTGCTGGAGGGGACTGGGCTGCACAGTGGACAGTGAAGATGGGTGCTTATCTGGTATCTGCAGCGAGAAGGGGGTTTGGTCTTCCCAATGAGACATTCCAGATCATTCTGTCTTTCACAACTGCTGGCCATCCCCCTGAAATCACTGTGCCCAGAGACACTGCTGGGCTGGGCTCCCAGGTGCCACCTCCCTATACACACACTCCCTATACTGACGGGTGGCCGAGTAGACGTGTTCACAGGCTGCAGGGACGGAGGGGCCTTCAGTGTTTTCGTGCTGACTTAAACACTTGTCACTTTACGTCATGCTCAACACGGAGGCTGGAAAACAGCGACGCAGACGGCTGCCTGGCCCCGCACACAGACCCGGCCCCACGGCCTGGGTCTCCCACGGCCCTGCCCTGGCAGGAAGTGGGTGGTCAGAGTCTCAGAGGAGATACAAAGGCAAGGCCTTCTCTCAACCCCCTTTAGAAGGGGCCCTTCAGCAGGAAGTAGAATAAGCGAGAGGGGAACATCCAGAGCCAGGTCAGGGAGCAGCACCTGTACTCCACGCGGGTAGGAAGCTTCTCCCACAGGGCAGTATGCATCGTAAGCAGGGACCACAAAAGGATGTTAAAAACCCCAGCTTCCCTGGTGCAGAACAGCATGTGATTGTTCAGAGATGCGTCTGCAATGCAACATTAATCCTGGGCCCGGCCTCTTCTCTGGAAACAGCCAGCCTTGCTGGGCGCCCACCTTCAATGATCAGCTTGGGCGGGTTTTCAATACCACAAGGCTCACCTGGGCAATGCTACTGTCCTCAAAGCCTCACCTTGGGGGAACTTTGCAAATTAACCCTGAACCCCAACCTGTGCTTGGAAAGTGCTGCCATTCTTCCAAAACGGATGCTGACAGGAGAATACAAAATAAGAAAGGTGATCAGAAATCAAATCACAAAAGCAGTGACCCCAACAGCCAGGCCATGTTTAAAATTCAGGTTTTGTTCTCATCATACATGTCCAAAGAAGGTTCGATGGTGGAGAATTCACTTTCATACACCAGACTCCGAGGGGACAAGGAGTTTCGATGAAAGAAGTGACCACCTGGAAAAGGAAGAAGAGAAAGAGACTTAATAGGTCACCAGGCTTGTGTTTCTCACATGGCTAGGAGGAAACAATGCAGATTATCTTTGAAGCATGACATTTTCTTAACTATCCTTCATAAGGGGCTCTTATTAGAGAGATACAAAAAGTGCGGGCATCCTTCAATTCACGCAGGCTTTAAGCATCTAAGTTCCAATCTTCGGATCCCCAAGAGACTAACCACTGGAGCTCCTCAAAGCAAAAGCTGCCTGGTGCTCGTAAAAGGGTTCCACTTAGAAACGTGAAGACTTCTTCCTGGGCACATGATCTTATGGAGGACTGCCCCCCAGCCCTCTCATCTGGGCATATATATTTATATATATATATATATTTTTTTTTTTGAGATGGAGTTTTGCTTTTGTTGCCCAGACTGGAGTGCAGTAGTGTGATCTTGGCTCACTGCAACCTAATATGCCTATGTTGATCCTTCCGAATTTTTTTCAGTCTTAGACTTTATCTACTGAATTCCCACTGTGGAAGATGAGGATTTTCTCCTAACCCCCGCACCCAAATTGCACATACTTTCCATTGCCCCAATATAATTATATTTTGATTTTAAAATTCCATAGTTACATTATTTGACTATCTGTGCTACTCAAAGCTGAGCTGTGCTTACATTTCCTTTTCTATAAAACTGTTTTTAAGCTTTACTGGGGTATAACTGACATACAATGAAAAGCACATGTTTAAAGTACATCATTTGGTGAGTTCTGACAGCTGTATAGGCCAGTGACACCGACACCACCATCAAGATAACGAACATATCCATTACCCCAAAGTTTCCTGGTGCCTCTCAATCCCTTGCCCTTCTTTCTACCCTACTCCTATTGCCAGGGAAACATAGATTAGTTTGCATCTTTCTAGAATTTTATATAAGTAGAATTGCATAGTATATATTGGCTCTTACAAATAAAGTTGCTAGAACATCTGTGCACATAAATTGTGTGAACATATGCTTTCACATCTCCTAGACCTGTAAATACTCAGAACTGAAATTACTGCAAAAACTGAACTTTTTCAGAAACTGCCAGGCTGTTCTAAGATGGTCCTGGCTGGGTGTGGTGGCTCATGCCTGTAATCCCAGCACTTTGGGAGGCCAAGGCGGGTGGATCATTTGAGATCAGGAGTTCAAGACCAGCTTCAACTACGTAGTGAAACCTTGTCTCTACTAAGATACAAAAATTAGCTGAGCATGGTGGCATGTGCTTGTAGTCCCAGCTACTTGGGAGGCTGAGGCAGGAGAATCGCTTGAACCCAGGAGGTGGAGGTTGCAGTGAGCCAAGATCGCGCCACACGCCTGTCATCCCAGCACTTTGGGAAGGCGAGGTGGGTGGATCACGAGATCAGGAATTCAAGACCAGCTTGGCCAACATAGTGAAACCCCGTCTCTACTAAAAATACAAAAAATTAGCCAGGCATGGTGGCAGGTGCCTGTAATCCAGCTACTCGGGAGGCTGAGGCAGGAGAATCACTTGAACCCAGGAGGCGGAGGTTGCAGTGAGCGGAGATTGCACCACCGCACTCCAGACTGTGTGACAGAGTGAGACTCCGTCTGAAAAAAGAAAAAAAAGGAAAAAGAAAAAAAAAGATGGCCCTACCGGCAGCCTATGGTAGTCTCAGCTCCTTTTCATACTCACAAACACTTGACATGGTCAGTCTTGGAAAAGTTTAGGCATTCTAGCAGGAGTGTAGGAGCTTCTCATTGTGGTTTTAATTTGCATTCTCTGATGACTAGTGACGTTGAGCATCTTTTCATGGGCTTATTAGCCAACCGTGTATCTTCGTTTGTGAAGTGTTTTGTTCAAATCTTTAGTCCATTAAAAAAACTGGGCTTTTAAAAAAAATTTCTTTTTTTAATTTTTTTTGAGACAGAGTCTTGCCCTGTTGCCCAGGCTGGTGTGCAATGGCGCCATCTCGGCTCACTGCAACCTCCACCTCCTGGGTTCAAGAGATTCTTGTGCCTCAGCCTCCTAAGTAGCTGAGATTACAGGCGTGGGCCACAATGCCCAGCTAATTTTTGTATTTTTAATAGAGATGGGGTTTCACCATGTTGGCCAGGCTGGTCTCGAACTCCTGAGCTCAAGCGATCTGCATCAGCCTCCCAAAGTGCTGGGATTATAGGCACAAACCACCACGCCCGGCTTGGGCTGTCTTCGTGTTATCAAGTATGAGGGTTTAAAAAAAATTCTAGGCCGGGCACAGTGGCTCATGCCTGTAATCCCAGCACTTTGGGAGGCTGAGCCAGATGGCTTCAGCTCAGGAGTTCAAGACTAGCCTAGGCAACATGGTGAAACCCCATCTCTACTAAAAATACAAAAAGTAGCCAGGTGTGGTGGTGAGCACCTGTAGTCCCAGCTACTTGGGAGGCAGAGGTGGGAGGATCGCTTGAGTCCGGGAAGCAGAGGCTGCAGTGAGCCGAGACTACACTACTGCCCTCCAGCCTGTGCTACAGAAAAAAAAATAATAATAATAATCCTCGATACAAGTCTTGCCAGACATACATTTTGCAAATATTTCCTCCCAGTCTGTGACTTGCCTTGACATTGTTATAACAATGTCTTTTGAAGATTAAAAGTTTCAAATTTTGGTAAGATCAAATTTATTGATTTTTTCCTATTATAGTTTGTGCTTTTTGTGTCAGATTTAAGAATCCCAAGGTCACTAAGATTTTCTCGTACATGTTCATCTAGAAGCTTTATAGTTTTAGTTCTCACACTTAGATGGTCCACTTCAAGTAAATCTTTGAAAATGGCAGAAAATAAGAGTTGAAGTTCATTTTTTTTTTTGCATATGGATATCCAATTGTTCCGTCGTCGATTGTTTAAAAGATTATCCTTTCCCCCACTGAACTGTCTTGGCACCTTTATGGAAAATCTATTGATTGTAAATGTGTGGGTCTATTTCTGGGCACTATTCTGTTCTAGCAATCCATTTGTCTGTCTTTATGCTGTTAAATTAAATTTAGACTAAACTGCTTCCTTATATATTTTAAGTTCGGCCTAAAGGTTTCTCCATACACAGTGAACTGTCACCTAAATGGATGTGTGACAGACTGTAACCGATTCTTGTACCAAGGAGCTGAGTCTCAGCCAATCCCAGCGGCTGAGTTTCAGCCAATCACAGGTGGCCAACAGTGCAAAGCGTGTTCAGTGAGGCAAAGGCTGAGCTTCACCCATCCAGCTGGTTCTGTACCTCACTTCCCTTTCCTGTACCTCACTTCCCTTTTTCTGTCCATAAATCCAACCACGGTGCAGCCCTGGAGTTGCTTTGAACCTATTTCGGTCCTGGGGGCTGCCCAATTCTTCAATCACTCTTGCTCAATTAAACTCTGTTAAATTTAGTTTCCCTAAAGTTTTTCTTTTAACAACACTAACACCATATTGTCTTGATTACTGTAGCTTTACAGGTCTTGAAATTAGGATTAGAAATTCTCGAACTTGATGGGCACGGAGGTTTGCGCATATAATCTCAGCAGATTACTCAACAGACGAGTATTAAATGAAAGCATTTCAGTGCTAGCTCATGAGCTGCAGGGCAACCTCTGTTTTCTTAACTTTTCTATATTAAAAGTCTTCTGCATTTAAAAAATTGGCATGAAGTCCAGCTTGATGGTCAGTATCTGTAATCCCAGCTACTAGGGAGGCTGAGGTGGGAGGATCGCTTGAGCCCGGGAGTTCAAGTCCAGCCTGGGCAACACAGTGAGACCCTGTCCCTAAACAATTTTTTTTTTTTAATAAATAAAAATTACTGCTGGGCGTGGTGGCTCACGCCTGTAATCCCAGCACTTTGGGAGGCTAAGGCGGGTGGATCACCTGAGGTTGGGAGTGCGAGACCAGCCTGACCAACATGGAGAAACCCTGTCTCTACTAAAAACACAAAATTAGCCAGACATGGTGGCGCATGGCTGTAATCCCAGCTACTCGGGAGGCTGAGGCAGGAAAATCACTTGAACCCAGGAGGCGGAGGTTGCGGTGAGCTGAGATTGTGCCATTGCACTCCAGCCTGCGCAACAGAGCAAAACTCTGTCTGAAAAAAAAAAAAATAAATACAGGCTGGGCGCAGTGGCTCATGCCTGTAATCCCAGCACTTTGGGAGGCCGAGGTGGGTGGATCACCTGAGGTCAGGAGGAGTTCGAGACCAGCCTGGCCAACATGGTGAATTAAAAATATAAAAATTAGCCAGGCATGGTGGCGGGTGCCTGTAATCCCAGCTACACAGGAGGCTAAGGCAGGAGAATTGCTTAAACCTGGGAGGTGGAGGTTGCAGTGAGCCAAGATGGTGCCACTGCACTCCACCCTGGGTGACAGAGTGAGGCTATCTCAAAAAAAAATTAAATATAAATAAAAAATTTAAAATGGGATCAATTCAAAAATGCTTCCTATCTATCCACAGTAGCCCTCTAAGAGCAAGGTCCCACATAAAATATGAGCTATTTCATTTCTGACAAAGGATCCTCAGCCCCCAGAAGCATCAGCACAATCCAACAGCACTAAGGGAGGAAGATGAAAAACAAAGAGCTGATGACAGGGGAGTTTCCTCTCTTCAGGATGAATTAAAGCTATCTGCCATATTGTGAAAAGTGTATTTGGTTTTTATCCGGGCTTCCTGGCCTACAACTGCTAGAATCCTCAGAATCTCCACAGTGGTATCTTTCATATGCTAAAGAGGTGGGTGAAGGCGGGCAGCCCCCAGGTAGCTCCGGGATGGGGCTGGTCACCAGAAGGACCAAGGCAGGACTAGAGGCCTGGGACTTTCAGCCTCACCCCCCAGCCTCCAGGGAGCGGAGAGGGGCTGAAAGTTAAGTTGATCGCCCATGGCCAACAGTTTAATCAGTCATGCCCACGTAATGAAGCCTCCATAAAAACCCAAAAGATTGGGACTGGGATACTTCGGGGATAGCTAAACACGTAGAGGTACCGGTAGGGGAGGGCACTGAACTCCAAGCTGCTTCTCACATGCCTTGCCCTACGCATCTGTCAACCAAAAAGAGAAATAACAGGCATTGGAACTAGAGAAGCATGGCTGGGTTTCTTCTGTTTTTTCATTTATTTATTTATTTATTTTATTATTTTCTTCTTTTTGAGGTGCTCTCACTCTGTTGCCCAAGCTGGAGTGTGCAGTGGTGCGATCCTAGCTCACTGCAGCGTCAACCTCCTGGGCTCAAGCAATTGTCTTGCCTCAGCCTTCCCAGAAACTGGGACTACAGGTACATGCCACCAAGCCTGGCTAATTTTGAAATGTTTCTTTTGTAGAGCCAGGGTCTTGTTAGGTTGACCAGGCTGGTTTCAAATCCCTGGGCTTAAGCCATCCTCCCACCTTGGCCTCCTAAAGTGCTGGGATTACCTACGTGAGTCACCACACCTGGCTGGGTTTATTCTGAGCCAAGTTGGAAGACGTAGGCCCAGAACACAGACTCCATATAGACGGAGAACGTGCCTCAAAGGAGGCTGCATGAGGCACAGTAGACATACATTTTCCAACAGGGGGATGCATGTGGCACGGAAAGGGGGAGCAGCAGAGGCGAGGCAGGGAAGCAGCTTTCCATTCTTGTGATTCTGATTGGTGCTCAGTGACGCTACCCATACGATAAGGTAAATGTGCACTTGTGTGGGGTGGGAGAAAGGCTAGGCAACTTAGGGTCTGGTAGGGGTTGACCAATTCCATCCTGTCTTTGTTCTACCTCTGATAAATGGGTTTACGACTAGTGCCTGTCAGTGAACTACGTAAACTCCAGTCATACAGGCAAGAGGTCAGCTTTATTTATAGGCCTAGGATTTATTATTCATGTGCCCGACTACAGCCATCATGGGCCACTGTTAAAATTTTCTTTTGAATTTTCCTTTTTCTGACACGTCTCTTCATCTGTATCCTTTGCAATATCCTTCATAATAAATCTCAGGCCGGGTGCGGTGGCTCATGCCTATAATCCCAGCACTTTGGGAGGCCGAGGCAGGCGGATCACCTGAGATCAGGAGTTTGAGACCAGTCTGGCCAACATGGTGAAACCCTGTCTCTATTAAAAATACAAAAAAAATTAGCCGGGTGTGGTGGCGCATGCCTGTAATCCCAGTTACTCGGGAGGCTGAGCAGGGGAATTGCTTGAACCAGGGAGGTGGAGGTGGCAGTGAGCCGAGATAGCGCCATTGCACTCCAGCCTGGGCGACAGAACAAGACTCCATCTCAAAAAAATAAAATAAATAAATAAATAAAAATCTCAGAGTTGTGTGAGCTGCTGTAGCAAATTAACCAAACCTAAGGAGGGGGCGGTGGGCACCCTGACTCATAGCCAGTTGGTCAGAAGCATGGGTTGAACACTTGGGCTTGCGCTGGGCATTGGACGTGGAGACAGTCTTGTGGGACTGAGCCCTCACCCTGGGGGACCTGATGCCATTTCCAGGTAGACAGCGTTGGAACTGAATTGAATTGAGGGACACCCAGTTGGCATCTGCCTCAGAACTGCTTGCTTACTTCGTGTGTGGGGGCCCCCTCGCCCCACTCGACACTGCCCCCACCACTGACTGTTGGTCACGGAAGTCTTCTGTGTTGACTGTTATGGGGTGAGAACAGAGGAAAAACAGTTTGCTTTTTCTAGTCACCGTCAGAAGTGGAAATGACCGAATCTTTTTTGTTAGGGTAGTCATCAGCTGATACCAAATCTTTGGCAATAAGAAAATGGGTCAGAACTTAAGTCAGTAATCTACATTGCTAACCAGTTTTCTTGAGAAAAATATAATGCAAACAGAGGAATGCACAAGCAGCTGAATTTCAGAGGAAGGTATGAGTCTGGCTTTGCCAAGAAAGCACACATAATTTTTGACACCTGGAAATACACCAGATGTGTACTGGTCAACTAATTATTATCTTTGTTATTGGCTACATAATGTTATTAAGTAAACTCTTAATTGAGGCATAACCTACATACAGATATGTGCACAAATCATAAGTATCCAGTTCAATGAATTTCCACAAAGAGAATATACCTACAAAATAATCACTGGATCAAGAATAGAATACTACCAGCGCCCTACAAGTCCCTCCAGTGACCGCCCAATCACTATGTCCTCTCTCCCCCGCCAAAGGAAACCATAATCCAGACTTCTCCCACACAGTTTAGCTTTGTCTTTTTTTTTTTTTTTTTTTTGAGATGGAGTCTCACTCTGTCGCCCAGGCTGGACTGTAGTGGCTTGATCTTGGCTCACCGCAAGCTCTGCCTCCCAGGTTCAAGCAATTCTCCTGCCTCAGTCTCCTGAGTATGGGACTACAGGTGCCCGCCACCACGCCTGGCTAATTTTTTTTTTGTATTTTTAGTAGAGATAGGCTTTCACCATGTTAGCCAGGATGGTCTCGATCTCCTGACCTCATGATCCACCCGCCTTGGCTTCCCAAAGTGCTGGGATTACAAGTGTGAGCCACCATGCCCGGCCTAGCTTTGTCTATTTTTAATTTTATATAAATGGAAACAGGGAATATATTCTTTTGTGTCTAGACTCTGTCTGACACACAAATGTCTGACATTTATGTTGCAACATCCATCCGCCTCAGGGAATATAGCAACAGTTCCTTCCTTTTCACCGCCGCATCATGTTCCACTGTCTGGCCACCACACAATTGATTGGTCTAATCTTTACGGACAGGCATTTGCATTGTTTCCTCTGGAGGCTCTCTGAATCTTGCTGTTAGGGACACTTGTTTCTGTGAGTTATCTTTTGTACACATGGACATGCCTTTCCCTCGGATGATGCCTGGGAGTGGGATTGCTGGGTCTTAGGTGTGCATATTTTCAGCGTCAGCAGACACTGGCCATGTTCCAAAGTGGCTGTGCCAACTTTGACTCCCACCAGTAAATGAGAATTCCAGTGGCTCTCTTTCTGTGCCAATAATGGATATTTTGTTTTTTTTTTTCATTTTAGCATTCCAGCAGGTGTATACACGGCATTTCACTATGTTTTAACGTCCATTCCCCAAATGACCAAAAAGGATGAACACTTTTCATACATTTGCAGGCTGTTTGTGTATCTGGTTCGCTCTGAAATGTCTCTTTGTTTCTTTTGCTCATTTTCCCATCAGGTTGTCAGTCTTCTTCTCCTTTATTGTGACTGTGAGTCCTTTGTGAGTTAAGCATTGCAGGTACCTTCTTCCAAAACTGTATTTTTTTAATTGTTGTTGTTTTTTTTTTTTTTTGAGACGGAGTCTCGCTCTATCACCCAGGCTGGAGTGCAGTGGTGCGATCTCGGCTCACTGCAAGCCCCGCCTCCTGGGTTCATGCCATTCTCCTGCCTCAGCCTCCCGAGTAGCTGGGACTACAGGCGCCCACCACCACGCCTGGCTAATTTTTTGTATTTTTAGTAGAGACGGGGTTTCAACCGTGTTAGCCAGGATGGTCTCAATCTCCTGATCTCGTGATCCCCCTGCCTCGGCCTCCCAAAGTGCTGGGATTACAGGCGTGAGCCACCGCACCTGGCCATCCAAAACTGTATTTTGATGAGCAAAATTTCTTAATTTTAGTGTGGAACAAATTATCTAACTTTTATTTTATGGTTAGGGCTTTTTCAGTCCAGTTGAAGAAGTCTTTGCCTATCTGAAGGTTTTGATGACATTTTATCTTATTTTTTAGAAGCTTCATGGTTTTACCTTTTGCATTTAGGTCTATCATCCATTTCAAGTCAATTTTTCAGTATAGTGTGAAGTAGGAATTAAGATTCATTTCTTTCTTTATAAATATTCAGTGGAGCCAGCACCATCTTGAAAAGACCATTCTTACCCCACGGCTTGTGCAGTGCCACCTCTGTCATGAGCCAAGTGTCTGTACATGCACGGCTGTTTCAGAACTCTATTTTGTTCTGCTGTCTGTCCATCCTTGCATCGATACCTTACTGTCTTAATTACTGTGGCTTTGTCAAAAGTCTTGATTTCCAGTATCTAAGTCCTTTTGCTTTATTATTCTTCAAAATGTTCTTGTTATTCTTAGCTCTTTCCATTTCCACGTAAATTCTAGGATCAGGCTGGGCGTGGTGGCTCACACCTGTAATCTCAGCACTTTAGGAGGCCAAGGTGGGAGGACTGCTTGAGCCCAGGAGTTTGAGACCAGCCTGGGCAACATGGCAAAATCCCATCTCTACAAAAAATACAAAAATTAGCTGGGCATGGGGGTGCATGCCTGTAGTCCCAGCTATTCAGGAGGCTGAGGTGGGAGGATCACTTGAGCCTGGGAGGTCAAGGCTGCAGTGAGCCATGATTGTGCCACTGCACTCCAGCCTGGGTGACAGAGTGAGACTGTGTCTCAAAAAAAAAAAATTCTAGGATCAATTGGTCCAGTTTCAATACACACACCCACACCCACCCACTGGGGTGTGACCGAAATCACAGTAAGTCTATAAGTCACTTTGGGGAGAGCTAACACCTCCATAGTATCGTGTCACTCATTTCAGCCTGTTATATTCACTTAGGTCATCTTTAATTTCTCTCGATAACACATAATTGTTCTCTGTATAAAAGCCTTGCGTATCTTCTCTTACATATATTCCTCAGTATGATGTTTCTTTGATGCTTTTGTAAATGTTATCTTTTTTGAAAATTTCATTTTATTTATTTATCTTTTATTTATTTTTTGAGATGGAGTCTTACTCTTGTCGCCCAGGCTAGAGTGCAATGGCGTGATCTTGGCTCACTGCGACCTCTGCCCCCCGGGTTCAAGCGATTCTCCTGCCTCAGCCTCCCGAGTAGCTGGGATTACAGGCATCTGCCACCACACCCGGCTAATTTTTGTATTTTTAGTAGAGATGGGGTTTCACCACGTTGGTCAGGCTGATCTCGAACTCCTGACCTCGT
This sequence comes from Homo sapiens, assembly GCF_000001405.40. Taxonomy (NCBI): domain Eukaryota; kingdom Metazoa; phylum Chordata; class Mammalia; order Primates; family Hominidae; genus Homo; species Homo sapiens. Next base: position 179,930,294 of record NC_000005.10, read on the forward strand.
GATCTGCCCGCCTTGGCCTCCCAGAGTGCTAGGATTACAGGCATGAGCCACTGCACCCGGCCAAAAATTTCATTTTAAATTGCTTATTGTTAGTCTATAGAAATATAATTGATCCTGTTAAATTTACTTACTCATTTTAAGAGCTGATTTGTAGAATATATTGAATTTTCTACATGTAATCGTTTTCTCTGTGAAGAGTGACAGTTTCATTCTTCCTTTCTAATCCTTACACCTTTTATTTCTTTTTCTTGCCATATGGTAATGGCTAACACTGCCAATATAATGTTGAAAGAGACAGTGACAGCAGATAACCTTATTTACAATCTTAGGGAAAAAGTTTTTAATATTTCACTGATAAGTATAATGTTTGCTGTAGTTTTGAAAATATCCATTATTAGATTAAGGAAGCACTCTGTTTTTCCTAGTTTGCTAAAAGTTCTTTTCTTTTAAAATCAAGAATGGAGGCTGGGCGTGGTGGCTCATGCCTGTAATCCCAGCACTTTGGGAGGCCAAGGTGGGTGGATCACTTGAGGCCAGGAGTTCAAGACCAGCCCAGTAAACATAACAAAACCCGGTCTCTACTAAAATTACAAAAAAAAGTAGCTGGGCGTGGTGATGCATGACTGTAGTTCCAGCTACTGGGGAGGCTGAGGCATGAGAACCCAGGAGGCAGAGGTTGCAGTGAGCTGAGATTGCACCACTGCTCTCCAGCCTGGGCTGCAGACCAAACCTCTGTCTCAAAAAAAAAAAAAAAAAAAAAAAAATCAAGAATAGGTGTTGAATTTTAGCAAATGCTTTTTTTGTACCTATTAAGATAAAAACATGGTGACCGCATGACTGATTGGCATTTTGATGACGTCCACGCAAAGCTGGATTCCTGTGACAGTGTTTCCCGCCTGAAGTACCGCACATCTGAACTGGGACTGTAACACTGATGGCGATACAGTGTGGGGTGCCAGAAATGTCAAAATGAATCACACAAAGTCCATTTTGTTTACCTATTGTATCAAAGGGGAGTCTAGGGACAATGGTAGTATTTGTTTTTAATCAGCTGTGAAAACATATTACAGTTCTGCACATTTTCTGTGTTCTTTTGTGTGTGTGCTTTAAGTGTAGCTTTTTTGTTTTTTGTTTTTTTTCTTTTTTGTTGGCAGTAACAGATTTTAATGAATCACTGTTTAAACTACAGTACAGGCCAGGCGCAGTGGCTCATGCCTGTAATCCCAGCACTTTGGGGGGCCGAGGTGGGCGGATCACCTGAGGTCAGGAGTTCGGGACCAGCCTGGCCAAAATAGTGAAACTATGTCTCTACTAAAATAGAAAAAATTAGCCGGGCGTGGTGGTGCCTGCCTGTAATCCCAATCCCAGCTACTCGGGAGGCTGAGGCAGGAGAATTGCTTGAACCTGGGAGGCGGAGGTTGCAGTGAGCTGAGATGGTGCCACTGCACTCCAGCCTGGGCGACAGAGCCAGACTCTGTCTTAAAACAAACAAACAACAAAACTACAGTACAAAGACTTTGTAACTGTGATTCAGGCCCCCCAGCACCCCCGTGACTGTAGAGTACCTTCAAAACTCAGCTGTCCCAGCCAGTGCCAACCTGTGAACTTCCCGCCATATCCCAGATCTGCTATCCCCCAAACCACTTCCCAGTTTTCCTTTGAGTCATCTTTCTGAAGGAGCCAAGACAATAGGGGTCTGCTGTGTAGTAAATTTCTTTATTATTTGCAGCCTTTAAAATGTAATTTCCATCTCTTGCAATAAATTTGTTTCCTTTTCTTTGTTTCACTTTAGTTAAAATTTCAGGTATTTAGCTCCCCTTTTGTACCATTAAAAAAATTTAAAGTTACCTGTTATAGGGTGTTCCTTCAGAAGCAAAGAGCAAAATTTTACTGTTGTACCAATTCTAATTGTAATTTTAAGTTCCATGTGTTTAATCATTGTCTCTTCATTTCAAGACCTTTAATACAAATGTCTTTTATTTGAGAGGGAGTCTCGCCCTGTTGCCTAGGCTGGAGTGCAGTGGTGCAATCTCAGCTCACTGAAACCTCCACCTCCCAGGTTCAAGCGATTCTCCTCCCTCAGCCTCCTGAGTAGCTGGGACTACAGACATGCGCCACCACTCCCGGCTGATTTTTCTGTATTTTTAGTAGAGACGGGGTTTCACCATATTGGTCAGGCTGGTCTCAAACTCCTGACCTCAAATGATCCGCCCGCCTCAGCCTTCCAAAGTGCTGGGATTACAAGTGTGAGCCACCACGCCCGGCCTTAGCTAATATTTTCTTAAAACATTTACGTCTGTTTGGGAGGCCGAGATGGATGGATCACCTGAGGTCAGGAGATCAAGACCAGCCTGGCCAACATGGTGAAACCCTGTCTCTACTAAAAATACAAAAATTAGCCAGGCGTGGTGGCACATCTGTAATCCCAGCTACTTGGGAGGCTGAGGCAGGAGAATCACTTGAACCTGGGAGGCGGGGATTGCAGTAAGCTGAGATTGTACCACTGCACTCCAGCCTGGGCAACAGAGTGAGACTTGGTTTCAAAAATACACAAAAAATTTACATCTGTATTCACAAAAGAAATTAACCTGTAATTTTCTTTCTTGTAATGCCCTTGTAATAATTTGGTATCAAATCAAATTAACAGGTTTCTGCTGATCAAGAAAGAAGACCAAAATGACCATTATCAGGAATGAAAAAGACATCACTGCAAAGCCTACAGACATTAAAAATAATCATAAGGTACAAAGAAATAGAGCGCAGAGGAGCGATTACCAGGGTGTTATTTAATGGGTATAGAGTTTCAGATTTGCAAGATCCACAGAAGGACTTGGGAAGTTCTCCTCTTTTTCTAGTCTCAGGACAAATTTGTGGAAGACTGGTGCTACTTTTTCCCTCAAAAGTTAAAAAGAATTCACCAATGAAATCATCTAGGCCCAGAGTTTTTCTTTGAGGAAATATTTTAAACTATGGATTCAATTTATTACCTAGATGTAGGAGAATTTAGGTGTCCTATTTCTTCCTGTATCAATTTTGGTACTTTGTATTTTTCAAAATCATCAATTTATTTTCAGAATTTACTAACAATGTTCTCATAACCCTATTTGTGTGTGTGTGTGTGTGTGTGTGAGTGTGTGGTAAAAAGCATATAAAATTTGCCATCTCAACCATTTCTATTTATTTATTGTGGTTTTTGTCCATTGAGGCATTTTATTTTACTTTTTAATTTAAAACTTTTTTTTTTTTTGAGACATGATCTCCTCTGTTGCCCAGGCTGGAGTGCAGTGGTGCAATCATGGCTCACTGCACTCTTGACTTCCCGGGCTCAGGTGATTCTCCTGCCTCAGCCTCCCGAGTAGCTGAGACCACAGTCACGCTCCACCATGCCGGGCTAATTTTTTCTACTTTTTGTAGAGATGGAATTTCACCATGTTGCCCAGGCTGGTCTCGAACTCTTAGGCGCAAGCGATTCACCTAGGCAGCATTTTAATTTTAAGTATGTATTACATCACTAGATAAAGAATCCCAGGATTTTCCCTCCTGTGTGTTTTTGTCTTGCTTCTTCATGGTCCATGTTGCCAGCTGAGGTTGTTAGTAAAATGAATCCAAACTGTCAGAATGGGAGCAGACTGTTCTGCCATTTTTTCTAGATCTTTGAGCTGCACCTCCAAGTTGGGGCTGATTATGGCACACTTGTTTAACCTGCCTGTGAAGCTCACAACAGTGTTCCCAGCTCTGTGACGATCAGATTTCAGATTTGCCAGTGGAATCATGCTTCATCACCGCAGTTAGAAACCGGAAGACGACTTTGAAGCACGGCCTAATAAGAACCTGGTGTTTGCCTCTCCTTTAGACATTGTGGATGCTCTTGAGAGCAGCAGCCTCGACGTTGGCGCATAGCAGCCTGGCGGCATGGAAAGGTGGTGGGAAGAGCTCAATCATTTTAAAGTATACGGTTCAGTCGTGGTAAATATATTTACATTATTGTGAAATGCATCTCCAGAACTTTTTCATCTTGCAAATCTGAAACTCTACACCCATTAAATAACCCCCTGGTAATCGCTCCTCTGCACTCTACTTCTTTGCACCTTATGATTATTTTTAATGTCTGTAGGCTTTGCAGTGATGTCTCTTTTCATTCCTGATAATGGTCATTTGGGTCTTCTTTCTTGATCAGCAGAAACCTGTTAATTTTATTCGTCATTTTAAAGGAACAACTTCGTGTTTGGTTGATTTCTTTTCTTTCCTTTTTTTTTTTTTTTTTGGTGGTGGGGACAGGGTCTGACTCTGTTGCCCAGGCTGGAGTACAGTGGCAAGATCATCATGGCTCACTGCGAACTTATGGGTTCAAGTGATCCTGCTGCCTCAGCCTCCCAAGTAGCCAGACCACAGGTGTGCGCCACCACATCCGGCTACTTTATTTTTATTCTTGTAGAGATTTTTCTTGCTATGTTGCCCAAGCTGGTCTCAAACTCCTGGCTTAATGTGATCCTCCATGCCTCAGCCTCCCGGGTCACGTAATTCCAGGATTACAGGCATGAGCTACCATGCTCGGCTTGGTTGATTTTTTTTCTATTGTATATTTGTTTTCCATTGAATTTAGGTAAGATCTTTATTTCCTTCCTTTGATTTAGTTTGTTGTTCTTTGAGACAAATGCTTCGAACTTTTCGCTAGGCTTTCGAGATTTAAGGTCGCAGATTTCCCTCTAGCATGGCTTTAGCTGAATTACGTAAGTTTTGATATGTCATACTTCTATGAGCATTCAATGAAACATTTTAAAATAATTTCCACTGCGATTTCTTCTTTGATTCATGACTTTTTCTTTTGGAAGTATATTGTTTAATTCCAAACATTTGGGGATCATTCTAATTATCTTTTTGTTATTGATTTATAACTTAATTCCGCTGGTCAGAAAACATACTCTACAGATTTCAATCCTTAAATATTAGTTGAAATTTGCTAAATTTATTGAAATTTATCATCCAGCATATAAGTCTATCTTAGTAAATAATCTATGTGTACTTAAAAAAATATATACCCTGTAGTTGATGAGGGCTATATAAATATATATGTTAATTACATCTTGTCTGTTAATTGTGACATTCAAATCTTCTAGATCCCTGGGGAGCATCTGTCTGATGCTCTATCATTTTACTTTCATTTTATTTTCTATCATCTGACTTTCAACATTTGTTTCTTTTCATTAAAGATATGTCAGCACGTGTGTGTGTGTGTGTGTATACATTTTAAATCTATCTTTGAGTATTTAATTATCCATTTCTATTCATTACTAACATGTTGGGACTTAAATCCATAATTACATTACTCATTTTCTGCTTGGCTCGCTGGTCCTATAGTCCTCTCCTCTAAGTTTTTTCCTCTTCTTTTGGATGACTTTTTGTTATTACAGTTTTCTCTCTATTAGTGTATTATATTATTATTTTATAATGCTTTTAGTGGCTATGCTGGCCTAGAGATCATTTTACTTTTTTTTTAGTTGTTACCCTGGATTATGACACGTATCCTTGATTTATTAGAACCTAATATAAATGAGTACTTTGACTCCTTCCTGGACAATGCAAGCATGTTAGAGCAGTTTTACCTCACTTGTCCCCTCCCATCTTTTGTGCAGTTGATGTCAAGCGGTCTCCACAAGGGATGAGTATCAGCGTCTCACACATCGAGCAGCACTTAGGTTACCCACATGTGTCTCCTTTCTGCTCTTTACTCTTCCTGCATCTCCGTGTTTCCATCTGGAATCCTCTTCCTTCTGCCTGAAAAACTAGCTCTTAGTATTTCTGTTTGCTGGAAAATGTCTTATTTCATCTTTCTTTTCTCTTATCTTGAGACAGGGTCTCGCTCTGTCACCCAGGCTGGAGTGCAGAGGCACGATCATGGCTCACCACAGCCTTGACCTCCTGGGCTCAAGCAATCTGAGGCCTCAGCCTCTGAGCAGCTGGGACTACAGGTAATTAAAAAAAATTTTTTGTAGAGACAGGGTCTTGCTATGTTGCCCAGGCTGGTCTTGAACTCCTGAGCTCAAGTGATCCTCCTGCCTCAGACTCCCAAACTGCTGGACCCATGCTGGCTAATATTTTATATTTTAATTTTTTTTGTAGAGACGGGTTCTCATCATGTTGCCCAGGCTTGTCTTGAACGCCTGAGCTCAAGCAATCCTCCTGTCTTAGCCTCCCAAAGTGCTGGGATTACAGGTGTGAGCCACCACACCTAGCCAACTTTATTTTCAATGGCTTTCCCCACTAGATGTTTAGGTTGGCAGATATTTTTCCTCCCAATACTTTACTATTTTCTGGTTTCTGTCAAGATACCAACCGTTAGCCTTTCATTGCTACTTTAAAGTAAAGCATCTCTTTATTGAAAAAGGAAAAACAAAGCTGGAAGACTCAAACTTCCCAATTCTAAGACTACTATAAAATTACAGTAAACAAGGCAGCATGGTACTGCCATAAACACAGACATACAGATTAATGGAATAAAATTGAGAGTCCAGAAATAAACTCATACATCTATGGCCAAGGGTTCCAAGACCACTCAGTGGGGGAAAGAACAGTCTCTTCAAGAAATGGTATTGAGAAAACTGGATATCCACATGCAAAAAAATGGCGTTGGACCCTACTTCACACCATACAAAAATATTAACTCAAAATGGATCAAATACCTAAATGTGAGTTCTAAAAGTATAAAACCGATGGAAGTTTTTGCGACCACCAATTTGTCAATGGTTTCTTAGCTTTGACACCTAAAGCATAAGCAACCAATGAAAAAACAGACAAATTGGATATCATTAAAACGAAATATCATCAAAACGAAATATCATCAAAACGAAATATCATCAAAACGAAATATCATCAAAACGAAGTATCATCAAAACGAAATATCATCAAAACGAAATATCATCAAAACGAAAGACTTGTGCTTTGAAAGATGCTATCAAGAAAACGAATACACAACTTATAGAATGGAGAAAACATTTGTAAATCACGTATCTGATAAGGGCCTAGTATCTGGAATGTATAAAGAAACTCTTACAACTCAACAGCAAAAGACAACCTGATTAAAAAATGGGCAAAGGACTTAACAGACAATTCTCCAAAGAAGATGTATGAGTGGCTAACTTAATGCACGTAAAAAGATGCTCAGCATCACTAGGCATTAGGGAAATGCAAATCAAAACCATGATGAAATGCCATTCACACTCATTAGAAATGGCTATAATTTTAAAAAAGGAGGGGGGATAACAAGTGTTGGCAAGGAGGTAGCAAATCAGAACCCTTATACATTGTTGGCAGGAATGTAAAATGGTTTAGCCATTGTGTAAAAGAGTTTGGAGGCTCCTCAAAAAGTTAAACTAGAATTCTATGACCCAGCAATTCCACTGCTAGGTATATAACCCAAAGAATTGAAAACAAGGATGCAAACAGATTCCTGCAAACCAATGTTCACAGTATTGTTCATCATGGTTAAAAGGTGGAAACAGCCCAAATGTCCATCAGTGGATGAGGAGATGAACAAATTGTGGTGTAGACATACAATGCACTGTTATTCAGCCATAAAAAAAATGAAGTGTTGACATATGCTTTCAATGAATCTGTGTGTGTGTGTGTGTGTGTGTGTGTGTGAGAGAGAGAGAGAGAGAGAGAGAGAGAGAGAGAGAGACAGAGACAGACAGGGTCTCACTCTGTCACCTAGGCTAGAGTGCAGTGGCATGATCACAGCTCCACAACCCAGACTCCCGGGCTCAAGTGATCCTCCCACCTCAGCCTCCCGAGTAGCTGGGACTACAGGTACGCGGCACCACGTCTGGCTAATTTTTGTATTTTTTTGTAGAGATGGGGTTTTGCCACGTTGCCCAGGTTGGTCTTGAACTCCTGTGCTCAAGCAATCCACCCTCCTTGGCCTCTCAAAGTACTGGGATCACAGGCACGAGTCACCGCGCCCAACCCTTTCAATGAATCTTGAAAACATTATGGTAAGTGAAAGAGGCCAAACACAAAAGGTCACATACTTTGCATGATTCAATTCATATGAAGCACCAGAACAGGTATATCATGGGGACAGGACACAGATTGGTAGTTGTCAGGGGCCGGGGGGATTGCAGAATGGGGAGCAACTGCTTAATGAGTAGGGGGTTTCTTTTTGGGGTGATGAAAACGTTTTGGAGCTAGAGAGGGTAGTGGTTACACCCCACTGTGAATATACTAAATGTCACTAAATTGTTCACTTACTTATTCATTTATTTTCACCAAACACATTCTCATTTCTCTTCTTTTTTTAGGCATATAACAAAGACCTAGTTTACCAGCTTTACATTTTAAAACCTAAGCTTAACATTATATATTTAAATAATTGTCAAAATTAAGTTGCCAGCATTCATGCACAATTAGAAAACATCCTTAATTTATATTAAACCAGAAATATATTATCATTATTGCATTAATACCTTTCACTACTAACTACTGAAAACCTTGCAATTATTTCTGTAGAAGACTCACCCTGGCAATGTTAACTTCACAGCAGGCTGACACCACATGGCTCACATTTCAGACAAAATGGAAAAGCCGATTCATGCTGGCGTTAGGGTACAATCTTGTCCTACCACTAAAGAGTCAAGGATCAAAAGTGCATACACAGGCCGGGCACAGCAGCTCACGCCTATAATGCCCAAAACTTTGCGAGGCTGAGGTGGGCAGATCACCTGAGGTCAGGAGTTCAAGACCAGCCTGGCCAACATGGTGAGACCCCATCTCTACTAAAAATACAAAAATTAGCCGGGCATGTTTAGTCCCAGCTGCTTGGGGGGCTGAGGCAGGAGAATCGCTTGAACTCGGGAGGCAGAGGTTGCAGTGAGCTGAGGTCGCGCCACTGCACTCCAGCCTGGGATACAGAGCAAGACTCTGTCTCAAAAATAAATAAATAAATAAATAAAAGTGCATACAGAGATTTATAACAACTTTTAAGACAGAAAAAAAGTGGTCCTATTATGTGGTCCTAACAATAAACTCAAAAGTTTATGACAAATAGGGGCTCTGTGAGTTGTTTATCAATACTTCAGGTACAATTCTACCAATAGTTGAGTTCATTTGAAATATTCAAAAAAATGTTCCTGTTAACCCTCAGATGGTGCTTCTGTAGCTGAACGTTTTTGTTCGATGACTTTGCATGCAAGCGCAGCAGCTGCTCCTTATGCTGGCCGTCTTCTCCCATTTCTACCCTTTCTCCGCCATTCCCAACAACTCTTTTTAGTGATGTTTCTGCCGTTAACCATTTCTAGTAGAAGTTGATATAGATTTGAAGTTGCCATTCCACTACCACAAATGACGTGGAAGAGAATGAAGTGAGGCCCTGTGACCTAGTGATCCAAATGAAGAAAATCTTCATCAAAAGAAGAAAATCCACTTCCAAAAGACGGAAATCCACTGAAAGCGGAGAAAAACGACCCCCTCCCTTGGCGACTCCTTTGATTCCCAAAAAAGTCCTCAAATGGGTCTTCAAAGAAGTTGAATGAAAATGGGTCCCTCCCACCAAAAATTCCCTGAAGACATCATCTGAGTTATGGAGGGTGAATCAACCTCAAACGGATGTCAAAATGCATTCCACCTCCTTCCTCTGTCTAATCCTTCTTTGTCATAAACGTCCCTTTTTTTTTTTTCTAGCATCAGACAGCAGCGCCTCATATGCCTCCACTGCTCATCTGAATTTTCTCTCTGCTTCTTCTTTAGTCTCAGGACTTTTATCTGGGTGCCACATCGGTGTCATTCTCCAACATGCTGTTTTAATATCCTCAGACCAGGCATGTCTGCACACCTGGACCTTCATAGTGACCGCTGTGCTTAACAGACGGTTGGAATGGGCAAGGGTGCAGGTGGTGGCACTGGCAGTGGCTCCTCACTTTCCTGAATTGTTCACTTTCTTTTTTTTCTTTTTTTTTTTTGAGTTGGAGTCTCGCTCTGTCACCCAGGCTGGGGTGCGATCTCGGCTCACTGCAACTTCCGCTTCCCAGGTTCAAGCGGTTCTCCTGCCTCAGCATCCTGAGTAGCTGGGATTACAGGTGCCCGGCACCACACCCAACTAATTTTTATATTTTTAGTAGAGATGGGGTTTCACCATGTTGGCCAGGCTGGTCTCTTTTGCCAGGCTGGTCTCGAACTCCTGACTTCATGATCCTCCCGCTTTGGCCTCCCAAAGTGCTGGGATTACAGGCATGAGCCACTGTGCCCGGCCCAAATTGTTCACTTTCAAATGGTTACTTTTATGTTATGAGAATTTCATCTCAATTTTAAAAACTTTAAAAATTGAGATAAAGTATCTTTTTCTCTGCCTTTAAGTTTTTCTGTGCTTCTTAAAATAACTTACTGTGATATGTCTTGGTGTGGTTTTTTTTTCACTCTGCTTGGTGTTCCCAGTCCTTCTTTAATCTGCAGTTTGATGTCTTTTGTCAGGTTTGAAAAATTGTGTCATTATCTCTTCAAATACTGCTTCTGCCCCATTCTCTGTCTTCTCTCCTTCTATGACTTGAATTACATGTATATTAATTTTTTCATCATCTAAAGACTCATGCCTTTTTCTGTATTTTTCTTCTCATTTTATTTTTTTGCTTCAGCTCAGATAGTCTCTCCTGACCTGCATTCCAGTTCATGAATCCTCTCTTAGCTGTGTTTAAGTTGATGTTAAACTCTCTATTGAGTTCTTCCTTTCAATTATTTTTCAGTCCTCGCATTTCCTTTTGATTTTGTTATTTCCACTTATTGGTCATTGGTTTCCTGAACATACTTAATTATTTTAAAAGTCTGTTCTTGTATTTCTAATAGTTAGATTTCTTGTGGATCTATTTCTGTTCTTTGTTTTTTCTCCTTTTTGGTCATTTGGTCTTATCTCCTGGCTTGCCTGCTTCGTTTGGTTGGTTTTTAATGGATTGCTGGACATGTATACAAGAAACAGAGATAATTTGACGTTGCTGATGGTGACCTTTCTCTAGAGGACTTCCCATTGCCTCTGGAAGTGACGTATCACTTTTAGAATATGGGCATATCACTTTAATCTAATTAGAGATTGAACAGATTCACAGTTGGGCTTCTGTCTTTGAGATGAGTCAAATTCTGGTTCAACCTCCAGTTCCAGGCTGTAGCCCTTTGGGGATCCCAATGGAAGGCCTGGGATGGTTATCGGGGTTCTTTCTGCTTGGTGGCCCATGAATTCCGAGTTTCATCTCACAAGCCCAATAAGACTGCTTGAGCTCTCCTTCTCTCTCGGTCTTTGGGCCATCACTTTCTAGTCACTGCTTATGAACTGGCAGATGCCACAAGAAAAAAAGTAGTGTTGAATACTGGATTCATATCTCTGTACCTCCCTCTTCTCTAGGATCTTTTCTCCTCAAGTCATCACTGCACTGATAGCTCTTTAATTTCTTAAAATAAAATGTTTTAAAAATACTTTTTCCATATTTCTAGTTCTTCTTGATATGATGGTTGCACCACAACAAGCTAGTCTGACATTACCAGAAAGAGAAACCTGATAAACTTATTACCAGTGGCTTAGAGTTTCCTTAATGAGGCTTAATAGAATACTGAAACTGATTAACGGAATTTAAAAAATGAAATAGAGAAGTACATTCTGCAAGTCTCTGTAAAACATAAGAATCTCATTATGTCTGTTATCCTATTTGCTGTTTTATGTCTTTCTTTCTCAATAAGACCATAAACTCCCCATGGGCACAACTCTGATACAGTTTATTTCAGTTTCTTCACATCATGCCAATAAATATTCCATTAAATTGAGTTGAGTGGGATGTACACTATTCTAATTAGAGTCACTAATTTGTGTCCAAATAGGTTTCACTTAGAACCATCTCAGTATGAAATAAAGAGGGCACTGGCACCAAGAAACAATGAAGAAGCTGAAAATTAACCAGCAGTTGTTATTTCTGTACCATCAGTTATGGTAGTTAGACGGCTTTAATGAAGATTACAAAGGTTTTAAATAACTGAAACACTCATCAGTTGAGGACTGATTCAATATACAATGCATTTATCAATATTAAAGAGACTGAGGCAGACAGATCTGTATGCACTGATGTGGAAAAATCTCCAAATTTTGGAAAAAAAGAATATATGGTCCGTATGCTCTTTTTGGAAAATCTATAGTATTATATGTTCTTAGTCTCGAATTTAAGTAACTGTTTTTGGATTAAGTTCTAGAAAATAGTAAGTGGAAGCCCAGCTGAGCCTTGAAACTGCAACCTTGAGTAAGAAAGAATTTTAGACATTTTAAAGGGAATTGTTGATGCGGATGCAAAAAGAGAACAGAATTCTATACAGCAAAGCCATTTAGGAGAAAATTTTCAGGTTACTATGAAGACTGAAAGCCTAAGCCTTAGCTGTTTAAACTGTAATCATTAGAGTACATTTGTGAAGTCCCTTTCTGAGACTTCTGGACTTCAAATATGTGATGTTTTCTTCAGAGATGCTGTAATGTTTCTTAGAACATCCTCTGCGAATTTGCTGCTATGGGTGACATATTTCCAGTTATGTGTAACTCTCTCCTGTGGATATAAGATAGGGCTTTTTGTTTGACAGAAGAGCCTCAAAAATGTCTTTTCTTCTGGCTGGGTGCCGTGGCTCAGGCCTGTAATCCCAGCAATTTGAGAGGCCGAGGAGGGTGGATCATGAGGTCAAGAGATCGAGACCATCCTGGCCAACATGGTGAAACACCGTCTCTACTAAAAACACAAAAATTAGTTGGGCGTGGTGGCACGTGCCTGTAGTCCCAGCTACTCAGGAGGCTGAGGTAGGAGAATTGCTTCAACCAGAGAGGCAGAGGTTGCAGTGAGCTGAGATCGCGCCACTGCACTCCAGCCTGGGACAGAGCGAGACACTGTCTCAAAGAAAAAAAGTCTTCCTTTGGGCTAAAGGAAAATGGACAGGTCACTGACCAATAGGTGACTGGTTTTATGACTGTGTGGGAGGGATTTTGTTGGGGAATGTGTGTGAAACCATCATATGCTCATACAGACACAAAATCTCTTTGGAAGTGTACACACAAGGCACAGACAACAGAGACTGCCAGGAGAGGTCTGGGACACTGGGATCAGGGAGGGCCTGACGTGGACTTTCTACCTTCCAACCTTTTTTACTATTTAAACTGTAATCAGTTTTACTATTTTTATTTTTTGCCATGTGCACTTATTACTTATTCAGAAAAACAATTTAAAACAATTTCAAACTAGAAGAAAAAGGGGATAAAGAGGAAAAGGCGTAACATGTATACTTTCACAACAACCTGCCTGCAAGATAGATGTGTCATTATTTCATACACAGAAAAGGTGAGGCTCAGAGAGATAAAATAACTTACTCAAAATCATAAAGCTAAAACTAGAATCCAGGTAAAACTGAACCCAAAGCCAAGTTATCTTTCAGCCTTATATTCTCATAAGTAACTTAGATTGCAGCTATGATTAAACCGCAAAGTATATTTAACAGTGATTAAAATTCCTGAGTTGCAACATGTTGACTGATTTAAGAGCTTATGCTGCTCAAGAAATGGCAACATAAATGAGAAAATACACTTTTTCTAAGGCAATAGAAATGTAATTAAAATTAAAAACTTCTCAAGGTCTTTACAAAGGTCCCATGTAACTAACCACTTCTCTTTATTTCTGAGAAATTTTTTTTTTTTTTTGAGACGGAGTCTTGCTCTGTCACCCAGGCTGGAGTGCAACGGCGCGATCTTGGCTCACTGCAACCTCCGCCTCCTGGGTTCAAGCAATTCTCCTGCCTCAGCCTCCCGAGTAGCTGGGACTACAGGTGCCTGCCACCATGCCTAGCTTTTTGTATTTTTAGTAGAGACGGGGGGGTTCACCATATTGGCCAGGCTGGTCTCGAACTCCTGACCTCGTGATCTGCCTGCCTTGGCCTCCCAAAGTGTTGGGATTACAGGCGTGAGCCACCGCACCCAGCCTTATTTCTAATAAATTTTAAGTCCTAAGTGTTCAGTGCTATTTCCAATAAATTAAATAACTAAAGGATCTGACAAGTTTTAAGATTTTCATGATGGAAACTTCATTGTGTTCCTATAATTGACTTAACAATTATGTACAGATCTATATTTTATATCTCCTTAACGGAATTAACGCTCCAATTTTCTCAATTTATTTTTTATTTTTTATTTTTTGAGATGGAGTCTTGCTCTGCCGCCCAGGCTGGAGTGCAGTGCCACAATCTTGGCTCACTGCAACCTCCACCTTCCGGGTTCAAGCAATTTCTCCTGCCTCAGCCTCCTTGCAAGCCACCATGCCTGGCTAAATTTTTTTTTTGAATTTTGTAGAGACAGTCCCCCAGTTCCTCAGGGGGCTGAGGTGGGAGGATCTCTTGAGTCCCAGAGTTTGAGGCTGCAGTGAACCATGATCACACCACTCCAGCCTGGGTGATAAAGTGAGACCCTGTCTCAAAAAAAAAAAAAGTTCACATGGAGTAGGGCTACAGGGGTAACGTGTCTGGCTCTGTGAAAGGGGCTCCTACCCCTGCTAGTCCCCTTTCCTCCTAATTTCTCTGCATTATTTCTAGCATGACAGCAGGCCCTGTTTCCAGATAAGGCACATATATTTGCTCACACGTGGCAAAGCTTTATTTTATCACTAATGCCTTGGGCTTAATGGTATCTGCACCTGTTGAAAGTTATAACTGGGCCAGGTGGGGTGGCTCACGCCTATAATCCCAGCCACTTTGGGAGGCCAAGGCGGGTGGATCGCTTGAGGCCAGGAGTTCAAGACCAGTTTGGCCAACATGGTTAAAAAAATAAAGTGATAACTGACTAGTATTTTCACATAAGGCTTTCATATGAAACAGGAACGGCCACTGGAGGTGAGGCTGGGCCTTCCTAAGGGCTGCAGGAGTTCTCGCCCACACCTGTGACCCCTTTCCCTCCACTACGATGAGCAAGGCTCAGTCCCACACCCTGCAGGGTGTGCTGACTGCACCTGGGAAAACAGTGGGACCCAATGGACCCAAACGCTGCACAGATCAGCTGCAAAACCTCAGCGGCGGGGGCTTTTCTGGGCTGAGTGGTACCTGAGCAAGGCGTTCCTATCATCAGTGCTAAAAAGGGCTCTGATGAGCAGTTCATCTTTTCATACAAGGAAAGAGAAAACATTGCTGAGCAACACTAAACGCCGGGTACTTTCACACACACCATGTTTCCAATCCTCACAGTGCTACGTTGCTGTTACAGTGACTTTTATTCCACTGGTGAGAAAACAGAGGCTGGGAGAGGTCAAGCAGGACTCACACCGCGGTGGACAGTCTAAGGTGCAGATCAAATCAATACAAAGCACTGAGAGGATGCTGGCTTGTGTGTTGAATGTATCGGAGGTGCAGGTGACAGACTCCAGAGGGACAATGGAAATTCAATTTGCTTTGCCCTAAGCTTATGAGCGGTGTCCGGCCTCGGCAGGAACCTAAATACTACGCGCCGCTGCAGGAAACTCTGTCATCTGTCCTGGGCAGTGCATGCACGCTTCCAGATGGGATTCCAGCCCGAAGAGTGTGGGAGCCTGAGCTGCATGCATTTATACCCACTCAACAATAAATGCCCGGAGGGAAAAAGGCGGGGGCAGGGATATTTAAATGGGGGCGGGGGCGATTCTGCCTATCACTCCCCACGGCCGCATCTGCCCAGCTGTGAGTGACAGAAGCATATGACTGACGTTCCTTCAGCAAGTCTCAGTTCCCCTGTGCTTCCCATCAGCGTTTCGCTGTCCTCCAAGGGACTTTTCAAATGCCATTTGGGCGATACTGTTTCTTGTATTTATAAGCCCCAAGCTCCTAGGGTGCAACCCCCTACAGTTACGGTAAGTATGTGACCAAAGGCCCATGCTGGAAACTCACTTTTCTGGATCTGAAAAGCAAGCAAGCATTCGTGCGTCCGAATTCTGAGTGACTCTTCACTGTCCATGTGTCTAGGCTGTTCCTGCCATAGCCGCGCGGGGTCTGTGTGTGGTCAGGAGGAAAGAAGCCCCCACAGGGAGGGCCCGCGTCAGGCCCCCCTCCTGACCCACGGTGAGAAACCCCGTTTCAAAATGCTTGCCTTTGGTCAGGCAAGACAATGGACATTTCCCTTAAAAGGGACTTTTATAAAAAAAACTTTAAGGTAAAGAAACAAGAGTAAAGAAAGTGGATAATTTCTACAAATGTACTAGCGTTCTTCTTAGTCTTAACAGACCGACCAGTACAGCACACCCACCGGGGATTTTTTTTTTTTTTTTTGAGACGGAGTCTCGCTCTGTCGCCCAGGCTGGAGTGCAGTGGTGTGATCTTGGCTCACTGCAAGCTCCGCCTCCCGGGTTCACGCCATTCTCCTGCCTCAGCCTCCCGAGTAGCTGGGACTACAGGCGCCCGCCACCACGCCCGGCTAATTTTTTTGTATTTTTAGTAGAGACGGGGCTTCACCGTGTTAGCCAGGATGGTCTCGATCTCCTGACCTCGTGATCCACCAGCCTCGGCCTCCCAAAGTGCTGGGATTACAGACGTCAGCCACCGCGCCCAGCACCATAGGGGATCTTTTCATCAGCTGGGTTTGCCTTTATCTTTCTTTAGCCTCGGGCTGATCTCAGGGCCGGTTGCCACCCTAGCTCCCGTTATTTCTACCTGTTTTTTCAACTCCTTGGCAAATAAAGTACTCTCCTTACAGGATCTCAACACCTCTCTCCCTGAGGATGCACTGTTGAGTGTGCACAAGTGCACACTGACGCAACCCTACTGTACTGAATGAATTCTTCACGGAAGTCTCCATACCTGGGTTTCTAGAATCTTCTCATCACTGACACAACTGTCTTCACCATTCTTGCCTCCTGGTTTGGTGAGGCAGTTTCTACATTAAAACAGTTTAAACTAGCAATTCTATCTTTAGTAACCCCACTATTTTATTATTTTCAGGACCAGTCTGCATTCAGATGCCACCTTCCAAAATGCATGGGCCTCCTGACTGCTGCCCACAGTAAAGTCCGTGCCCTGTAACATCACCATCCAGCCCTAGGACACGTCTCTCACCCACCCCACCTGTGTCCTAAATCAAGCCCAGCACACTTCCTGGCCTTTTCTACTATCATGCTCTGCACACTAGGGGCCACTGGTCAGGACACCCCACAGCCTGCCCCTGACACTTGGTGAGCTTCTCTAAGAGGCAAATAGAATGGGGTTTGGAACACAGACCCTGGGGGCCAGCTTATGTGTTGAAATCCAGCCTCTGCTACTTACCAGCAGGGCAACCTTGGCAAGTTACTGGATTTCTCCAAGCCTGTTTCCTCATCTGTAAAACGGAGTTAATAAGAGGGTTGTTGCAAGGATTTAATGAGTTAATGCAGCAAAATGCTTCAAAGAGGACCTAGCATGCAGTTAAGCACTGTATGTGTTAGCTATTATTATTGTACACTATTATCAAACAAAAGTATATGTGTGTATATGTAAGTATATAGTAGGTATACATTGATATAGCATATATATACTGCATATGGTATATATATACCTACACAATATGCTATTATATATTATACATACAGTATATCTATATACACAGACCATATATGCATGTAAGAATATGGGTGTGTATGTGTTTGTGTAGCTCAGCCCTCAAATAGCTACCTCCATTCACTTCCCCCGTTTTCACCCTGAGACTCTGAATTGCTCTAGGGTGCAGGCTGTGCACATAGTAGGTCCTGGTCTAACTGTCTCCAGGCTGGAGGGTATAAAGTAGTTGGGAGCATTGACTCTGGGCTGCCTGGGTCTCATTCTGACTTTGCCCCTTAGCAGGTGAGTGAACTTGGGCAAGAAACTTGAACCTTTTGAACCATCAGTTTTCTTCACTTGTAAAACAGAAAACCAACTATATCTTCTCTCATTCAGATATTGCGAAGATTAAAATGGTTATACATGTGAACAACTCAGCATGCTACCTGGTACACCCTAAGTGATCAGGAGCCCCTGGCAACAGTTAACAGTTTCTTCCTGCCCAGCTTCATGGCAGACCTGGAATGGTGGTCTCTGTTTCACCGGGACTCTATTCTTTGTTCTGTTTGTTGCTCTTGGCCTGGTGCATTGGCTCATGCCTGTAATCCCAGCACTTTGGGAGGCTGAGGCGAGCGGATCACCTGAGGTCAGGAGTTTGAGACAAGCCTAGCCAACATGGTGAAACCCCCATCTCTACTAAAAATACAAAAATTAGCCAGGCATGGTGGCAGGCGCCTGTAATCCCAGCTACTCAGGAGGCTGAGGCAGAAGAATTGCTTGAACCCAGGAGGTGGAGGTCGCAGTGAGCCGAGATCACGCCACTGCATTCCAGCCTGGATGATAGATAGAGCGAGACTCTGTCTCAAAAAAAGAGAGAGAGAGAAAAAAAGAGTCTTGATAAGGAACTTGGCATAACTAAATAATTTGGAAGATAAAAAGTCAAGGAAGCTTCAGGATCTTTTACCAATTATTTTTAAAGTCTAAAGTGACAACCTAGCTAGCCAATGAGAAATGTGATTTAATGGACTTATCAGGCTAAGACTGCCTTAAGCTGCTGGGTAGAATCAGGGGCACTTGCTTTCCCGTGGAGGGTCTTCAGGTGACGTTCTTATCAACTTCTGACCAACCTGGCCAATGCTTCCTTGGAATAATTTTTTTTTTTTTTTTTTTTTTGAGATGGAGTCTCGCTCTGTCACCCAGGCTGGAATGCAACGGTACCATCTCAGCTCACTGCAACCTCTGCCTCCCGGGTTCAAGGGATTCTCCTGCCTCAGCCTCCTGAGTAGCTGGGATTACAGGCATGTGCCACCACGCCCGGCTAATTTTTGTATTTTAGTAGAGATGGGGTTTCGCCATGTTGGCCAGGCTGATCTCGAACTCCTGACCTCAGGTGATCTGCCTGCCTTGGCCTCCCAAAGTTGCAGGGATTACAGGCATGAGCCACCGTGCCCAGACAATTTTTTTTTTTTTTTAAGACAAGGTCTTGCTGTGATGCCCAGGCTGGAGTGCAGTGTTGCAACCATAGCTCACTATATCCTTGAACTCTTGGGCTCAAGTAATCTTCCTGCCTCCTGAGTAGCTAGGGCTTATAAGAACAAGCCACCATGTCCAGCTAATTTTTAATTTTTTTGTAGAGATGGGGTCTTGCTATGTTGCCCAGGCTGAAAATACTCTAGAAAAATACTTTAAAAAAAAAAGAAAGAAAAAACAAAGACAAAACAACCTGTCTCTTGCATTACAAAAGTTTGTCCAAGAAGGGTTTAAAACTCTGAAATACCAGATTAAATTTTAATCTCGAATTTTTTAAATAGTAAACAAAAATTATTCAACTTTATACATTGCTTCTATTTGTAAATCTGACTTCTTAGTTGTGTGAAATTAAATAACTCAAAGCTGTTGTAACTTTAAGTTATCCTGAGACTTCAGAGGAATGTGGCTCTGCAGCCTGCGTCGCTTGGCACGCAGCTGCAACTTCTGCCTTTCAGAAATGCTGTAAATAATTAAGACCAGAGATGAGACCCCTCAGATCACCACCCCTCCTCAAGGAGCAATCTGTAATCAATCGGATCACTGTAACATACTCACTAGCCTCACGTGGAAAATGGTATAATCTTGCTAAAACTTCTGTCTCTGCCTATATGATACTTTAACTTCTCCAGAGTGGAACACTGACCCCATTTGTTTGAAGCTGTTTTCCTGGGTGGCCATCCTCCAGCTCTGTGCTTGAGCAAACTCTATACTTAATGATATTTTCTGAATCTCATTATTTAAGGTTGACAGTTGATAGCATCATGCTTATTAAATAACTTTTTTTTTTCTTGAGATAGAGTCTCACTCCATCCTGGGTGATGGAGTGAAATGGCATGATCTCAGCTCACTGCAACCTCTACCTCCAGGGTTCAAGCAATAGACTCTCCTGCCTCAGCCTCCCAAGTAGCTGGAATTATAGGCACCTGCCACCACGCCTGGCTAATTTTTGTATTTTTAGTAGAGATGGGGTTTTGCCATGTTGGTCAGGCTGGTATCAAATCCCTGGGCTCAACTGATCCACTTGCCTCAGCCTCCCAAAGTGTTGGGATTACAGGTGTGAGCCACCCCACCCGGCCTAAATAACTGCATTTTGATACTAATCGTATTTCTGGTTTTAGGAACAAAAATACATGTTTAAGGTGCAAATGCATGCACATGTGCACACAAAATATACCTTCATGGTTACTGAGACCATGATTAAATTATGAAAAATTAATAATGTCTGTTAAATTTCAAAGTCACAAACAGGTTCAAATTTCAAAGGCAGATGACAAATGTTCCCTAAGACTGATGGGAAGTCCCAATCTATCAATTCACTCATTTCGCTTCTTAGCTCTTAACAAAAATTCTCTATCTGGCCTTGAACAGCATCTATTTTTTTGAAGTCTTAATACTATGACTTGAAATAATGTGAAAAGAAAGCACATTAAGTTAGTAGAAAGAGTAACACTGTCATTAAAAGTCCTACACCTCCTGATGTACTTCAGCATCTTCTGATGACTGCTGATGAAGGAAAATAATGAATCACCGTTAAATAAGGAGAGAAGGAAAGAAAAAGGAAGAATTGCTTTGATCTCCACTGAGATGAAACCAGGTGGGGAGGAACTATACCATGAATCTACGAAATACCACCAGAGGAAAAAACTTTTTACTGAGGAAGCTATCAATACAAGAGAGTCCACTCTAGAAAATAAGGCCAAACATGCTCGGCTGAACTCTGGCATTGTGAGTTGGCTGGAGTTGGTTCAGAGGAGGGCCACTGAACCAGGGAATCTCAATGGATAGAGGTGTATGAATAACCAGTGCAGCTTTAAAACATTCTTCAACCCCGTATGCACCTAACAACAAAGCCCCAAACTACATGAAGCAAAACAGACAGAATAAAAGGGAGAAACATAATTCAACAATACTAGAGATAACAATACTCACTTCCAACAAATTCTAGAACTACAGAGAAGAAAAACAAGATAAGATTTGAGCAACACGATTAACTAGACCTAACACACGTCTACAGAACAGTCCATCCAACAAGAGCAGAATAGGTTTTTGTTTTTTTTTTTTGAGATGGAGTCTCGCTTTGTCGCCCAGGCTGGAGTGCAGTGGCGCGATCTCGGCTCATTGCAAACTCCGCCTCCCGGGTTCACGCCATTCTCCTGCCTCAGCCTCCCGAGTAGCTGGGACTACAGGCGCCCGCCACCACGCCCGGCTAATTTTTTGTATTTTTAGTAGAGACGGGGTTTCACCGTGTTGGCCAGGATGGTCTCGATCAGAATATGTACATTCTTAAGTGCACATGGAACATTCTCCAGGATAGACCATGTTAGGTCGTAAGAGAAGCCTTAATAAATTTATGATTGAAATCATACAAAGTATGTTCTCCAACCAATAACTGAATTTAGAATGAAATTGGAAATCTACAACAGAAGGAAATTTGTGAAATTTATGAACACATAGGATTCAAACAACATACTCCTAAATAACCAATGGGCCAAAGAAGAAATAACAGGGGGAAACCAGATATGAAATAAAAGCCACAACAATATCAAAATTTACAAATGAGTGAAATAGGACTCAGAGGGAAATTTATAGCTATAAACAACTACATTAAATAAAAAAGACCTCAAATCAATAACCTCATCTTCCACCTTAAAAAACAAAAAAACTAAACCTAAACCAAGTAGAAGAAATAAAATAATAAAGATTTGAGTAAGGCCAGGTGTGGTGGCTCAAGCCTGTAATCTTACCACTTTGGGAGGCTGAGGTAGGAGGATTGTTGGAGCCAGGGAGTTCAAGGCTGCAGCGAGCTGAGATTGTGCCACTGCACTCCAGCCTGGGTGACAGAGCGAGACATCTCAAAAACAAAACAAAAAAACAAGATTTGAGTAAAAATTAATGAAATAGAGAATAGAAGAGAGAAAAATCAATAAAACAAAAAAGGATAAATTCCTAGAAAGATACAAATGACTCAAACTGTCTCAACTATAAATAAAAAACCTGAATAGGCCTCTAAGTGAGGAGATAATGAGTTGGTAATCAAAAAACTTCCTACAAAGAAAAGTCCAGGACCAGATGGCTTCCAAATATCTAAAGAATTAACACAATTCTTCTTAAGATTTTCCAAAAAACAGAAGAGGAAAGAACACTTCATAATTGTTTATATGATGCCAGCATTACAATAATACCAAGGTCAGATAAGGACATGATAAGAATTAATTACATATCAATATCCCTTATAAATATAGATGCAAAAATCCTCAGCAAAATACTAACAAACTAAATCCAGCAAATATAAAAAGGATTGTACATTATGACCAAGTGGGATTTGTCCCACAATTGGTTCAATGTAAGAAAATCAATGTAATGCACCACATTCATAGGATAGAATAGAATAAAGGGCAAACTCACATGATCATCCCAATAGACACAAAGCTTCCGACAGAATCAAAAACTATTTCATGATAAAAACGTTCAATAAGCTAGAAATAGAAGGTAACTTTCTCAACTTGATAAAGGTATCTAGTCTATAGTCTTAATAGCTAACTTCATCATCAGTGGTGACAGATGGAAAGGTTTTCCCTACGAGATCACAACAACACATGGATGTCTGTTTGCACCATTTCTATTCAACAATCTACTATTTGAGGTTCTAGCCAGAACAATTAAGCATGAGGATAAAATAAATAAGCATCCAGATTGGAAAGGAAGAAGAAAAATGATCTCTATGTACAGATGACATGATCTTGTAGACAGAAAAGCCCAAGGAATCCACAAAAAAATATGAGAATAAATGAGTTCAGCAATGTTGTAGGATAAAAGATCAATGTAGAAAAATTAATCATAGTTCTACAGAAATTAAACATGTGGAACGATATCCCATGCTCATGAGTTGGAAGACAATATTGTTGAGACAGCAATGCTAACTAAAATGATCTACATATGCAGTGCAATCCCTATAAAATCCTAGCTTTTTTTTTTTTTTACAGAGATTGAGAAGTTGATTCTAAAATTCATGCAAGGGACCCTGAATAAAGAAAACAAACCTGGAAAAGAACAAAGTTTGAGAACTCACACTTCCCAATTTCAAAACTTACTATGAAACCAATGGAAGAATTCAGAGTCCAGACATAAACTCATATGTCATTCTCAATTGATTTTTGACAAGGGTGCCAAGACCATTTAATGGAGGAAAAAAGTCTCTTAAACAAATGGCACTGGGAAAACTGAATATCCACATGCAAAAGAATGAAGGTAACACCCCTACCTTACACCGTATACAAACATTAACTCAAAATGGATCATCAAAGATCTAAAAGTTAAGAGCAAAGACTATATTGTTCTTAGAAGTCTCTGTGACCTTAAATTAGGTAATACATTCTTAGACATCTAAAGTACAATCAACCAAAGGAAAAATAAACATATTCAACTTCATCTAAATTTAAAACTTTGTGCTTTGAAAGACACTACCAAGAAAGTGAATAAATAGTTTAGAGAATGTGAGAAAATATTTGCAAATGACCTATCTGATAAAGGCCTAGTATCTAGAACATACAAAGAACTCTTACAACAAAAAACAGTCCAATTTAAAAATGGGTAAAGCACCGGGATAGACATTTCTCCAAAGAAAATAGAAAATGGCCAAAAAGCACATGAAAAGATGCTTTGCATCTTCAGTCACTAGGGTAATGCATGTTAAAAACATGAGACAACTCCTTCACACCCACTATGACATCTATAAGAAAAAAGACAGGCAGTCACTGGTGTTATGGAGGTTGTGAAGAAATTGCAACCCGCATACTCTCTTGGTGAGAATGCAAAATGGTGCAGTTGCTTTGAAGAACATTTTGGCAGCTTCTCAAGAAGTTAAACATAGAGTTATAACATAATCCAGCAACTGCACTCCTAGGGACATATCAAAGAGAACTGAAAATATATGTTCAGGCCAAAATTTGTACATGAATGTTCACAGCAACATTCATAACAGCCGAACAGCGGAAACAAGTCAAGCGTCCATCAGCAGAACAAAATGTGGTACATCTATACTATGGAGTGTTAACCACACAAAGAAGTTCTGACACATGCTACAACATGTATGAACCGTGAACACATGCTAAGTCAAAGACGCCAGACACAAAAGGCCACATATTATATGGTTCTATTTACATGAAATGCCCAGAACAGGCAAATCCATAGAAACAATGAGTAGATTTCCAGGTTTCCAGGGCTGGCAAGGGTGAGAAGTTACTGAGTATGAGGTTTTTTACGGGGTGATGAAAATGTTCTGGAATCTGATAGTGGTGATGGTTGCACAACTGTGTGACTATACTAAGAACTACTGAAATACACACTTTAAACGGGTAATTTTATAGCATGTGAATTACATTTTGATTGCAAAAATCCTTTCAGCCCCCTGCTGATTTGAGCATGACTACTGGAGTGAACCCGTTTTCAATAGGAATACGTTCTCACTCCTCAGGTAAGCTGAGGTAGAAGATTAAGAATTCACTGCTGCAAACATTTACAAATACTGAAAATCCTTCAAGCATATAATTCGATGTAACAAAGTATTTTGAAATTCTCCTCATCAGTAAAGCAAAAGTATTTCACCGGCACATGTAAAATCGCTCTCACCTACTTTTTTGAGTTTGCTGTTTTTACAAGAATACAAAGTAGGTAATAATTTATTACTAATTAGATGTGGTTTGGAAAATCATTTTGACACTCATTCCTTCATTCCACAAATATTTATTGAGCACTTACGATGTGCAAAGCACTCTGTTGGGTGCAGGGGCACAGTGGGGAGCAAATGTTACAAGTCCCTGCTGCTGGGGGTGCTGCAGCTCTGGTGGAGGCTGATCAACCACAGAGAAGAAATTATCACAGAGTGAATGTCCCCCTTGAAGAATGAGTAAATCAACTGACCATCCTAAGCGGCATCACCAGCAGGATGTCCCCGCTCTTGCGCCCTATGTGGGTAGGAGCCAATGTGAAGACACCAATAGTAAGTGTCAATCCCTGTTCCTCTCACGGGAGCCAGGAGCACATTCTGTCTCTGAAACACAAACAAATGCAATCTGGGTCTGCGAGCTTCAAATCAGCCCTCAAAACACAGGTCTGGTTAATAAGACTCAACAGCACAGACTTTTTATTTTATTATTTATTTCTTTTAATACAAAGCTTTGGCATTAGCAATTTTATGAAAAAATAAAATGTACTAAAAATAAATGCTTGTGTGGCATGATTGGTAAATGATGCACAAAAATAGGTTCTTTTTTCCTTCAAGGCAAAATCAGTCAGAAAGCAGGTTTTTTCTTCTTCAAAACCATTCTACCCTATGGAATAAAAGGAAAAAAGAGGTCATAAATTAAAGAGTAGTCAAATGTTTAAAATAACAGAGAAGTGACCCTAACTGAAGGGTGGCCTGGCTGTCCCCAGCTAGTTCCCAACCCCTCTGGTAAGGCCAGGAAGCCATTAAGTGTTTTCCCAAAATCAGCAGTTTCAGATCTGCAGTTGACTGACTCATCCATCTTAGAGGTGCTTTAATACTCCCAAAAGGATGAAGGAAAAGGTCAGGCCCATGGCGTGTTGTTTAAATACACAGGGACAATTATCATACAATTTACAATTTTTCCTGGTTTAAACACATGTTCTGAATGCTGAGGGTGCTGAAATCTGCCGCTGTTGTCTTTAAAAAATGCTCCTCTTACCTCTCAAACAAGAATGTCCTCACTTATTTTGAAGTGATAGGGATGTATGGCTGTCTCACAGGAATCCTCCAGACCTTGTGTGTGTTTCTGTCCTTGCATCAGGTGTAAAAACAGCCTATGACCTTTTGACAAGCCCCTGCGCTGCCCGAGCTCCTGCTGCCCTCTCTGCAGCCCTGTGCTGTGGGGCTGTCCTGGCTTTCTGATGCCTTGGATTCCTGCTCATTTCCAGGGTCCCCAAATCAAGCTGTTAGCGTTGATCTTTTTCTTTCTGCTGAGCTCCAGATCTCTGCTTCAAACCATATAAGCTTTGGTTATTACACAACTCTCTAGCAACTCCTGATTTCAGCTCCTGCTCGCCACCCTGACTTGCTCCTTCAACTCCCTATTTTTACCTAATCTATCTTCCTGCCTTCATGCCCTACCACAGCAAGCAACTTCGCAGCCACTAGGAATATCTCTCTGCTGAAAGGCCTTAGAGCCCATTACCAGCTCTTTATAAGAATCAAGTCCAAAATCTGTCTCCTGCCTACCGTCACCACCACCTACAGCAGACACACCAAACCACACAACTCGCTGATCCTGCTCTGTGCGGTCCTCACTGTGTGCCCTAATTATGCCCAGGCTGGTTCCTAAGTCACTCTTCCATGCAGCCTTTTCAGCTCCCCCAAAGGTAAGGCGGCAGCTCCGCAGGCATGACCCAGAAGGGCCTTTGCGTACTCCCTCACTCTCCAGCCACATCAGTACGCACATGAGGGCATAGCCCTGAGCTCTGGCGGGGCCAGACCAGGTCTCCATTACCTTCAGCACTGCGAGCCCCGTGCTTGGCACAAGCCCGGGAGCCTACTTGGGAAACAGCATCTCAATGAATGAGGGGGCGTTGTCAACTTTTTTGAAAAACCTCTGGTATAAAGGATATTCACAACTTCACATAAAGTTCTGTACCTTATTATTTCTTGTAGTTCCTATTTAAGGTAACACATTTTCTAATATTTCCTCAGAAAAACTGGATATTAGATATAAAGAATTTTTAGGGGTAATTTAGTTTTCAAATCTACTTTATCTTGTTGCCTCTTAAAGAAATTATAGGCTGGGCCTGGTGGCTCACGCCTGTAATCCCAGCACTTTGGGAGGCTGAGGTGGGTGGATCACCTGAGGTCAGGAGTTTGAGACCAGCCTGGCCCACATGGCAAAACCCCATCTCTACTAAAAATGCAAAAATTAGCCAGGGGTGCTGGCAGGCGCCTCTAGTCCCAGCTACTCGGGAAGCTGAGACAGAAGAACTGCTTGAACCTGGGAGGCAGAAGTTGCAGTGAGCCGAGATCCCACCACTGTACTCCAGCCTGGGTGAGAGAGCGAGACCCTGTCTCAAATAAATAAATAAAATAAAGCAAAATAATAACCACTGCCAAAGAGAGCAGAGAAGTGCAAGTTCCCACTGCCTTTAATACTCATGTTGCAACTGCATTTTTAGGAAACCAAATTTGTCTCCTTCAACCACATTATTTGGCACTATCCTCCTCTCTGAAGTAGTCAAATGCAAGCAGTTTAAAGGAAAAGGTTGGAACCAGAGGTGCTGGGTTTGAATTCCAGTGGCCTTCTTCCTATGGCATCCCTTCAGAGTCACTCAATCCCTCGAAGCCCTACTTTATTCTTTTGTGTACATATATCTCACACTCAGATTGGCTACAAGGAGAATAAATACCAAGAGAAAGAAAAGGATCCACTATCCAGCAATACACCTCAAACAGAGGTTAATTTTAAATCTTTTCTGGAATTGTTACAAGACGGGCTGTGTGAGCAAAAGGTTATCAGGTTGAGAACTAAAAATTCAAAATTCTTTTTTTTTTTTTTGAGACGGAGTCTCGCTCTGTCGCCCAGGCTGGAGTGCAGTGGCGGGATCTCGGCTCACTGCAAGCTCCGCCTCCCGGGTTCACGCCATTCTCCTGCCTCAGCCTCCCAAGTAGCTGGGACTACAGGCGCCCGCCACTACGCCCGGCTAATTTTTTGTATTTTTAGTAGAGACGGGGTTTCACTGTTTTAGCCGGGATGGTCTCGATCTCCTGACCTCGTGATCCGCCCGCCTCGGTCTCCCAAAGTGCTGGGATTATAGGCGTGAGCCACCGCGCCCGGCCAAATTCAAAATTCTTTAGACAAGTGTTTCTCAAAACTAAAGCATACAACCTATTAATGGTTATACCATCAATTTAGGAGTTAACGACTAATATTAACAACAAGGCACAGGACTGACTACATCAGAGAATACTGCATGCAGTCAGGGAAGTGTGTGAAATTTGTTTCAGTTACACATGGGAGTACTGGGTCACAACACAAAATGTATCTCTTACAGTAGGAAGATGGTTTTTAGAAAGTCTGAAAAACACTGCTTTTGATATTTAAGGTTCTAAAAGAGGTAACTGAAAGAGAACCCAACAGCTCTCCTCGGCCTCTGATCCCTCCTAGGAACAATTCAAGAGGGACCCTCAGCACAGGACGCATCTCAGAGCCTTCTACCTGATCTGAGGTCGGCCTGTGAACAGGTCTATCCTGTAGCTTCTGTCTGAAGAATCAGGTCCTGGTGCAGGCTCGCTAGCTTTCAAAGTGTCCCGTGTTTTGGACGGACAATTTTAACTACTACAAAGTTGTTTCTTTCTTTTTTTTTGAGACAGAGTTTCACTCTGGTCACCCAGGCTGGAGTGCAATGGGGCGATCTCGGCTCACTGCAACCTTCGCCTCCCAGGTTCAAGTGATTCTCCTGTCTCAGCCTTAGCTGGGATTACAGGTACCTGCCACCACACCCAGCTAATTTTCATATTTTTAGTAGAGATGGGGCTTCACCGTGTTGGCTAGGCTTGTCTTGAACTCCTGACCTCAGGTGATCTGCCCACCTCAGCCTCCCAAAGCGCTGGGATTATAGGTGTTAGCTACCACGCCAGGCCACAAAGTTCTTTCTTATATCAAGTGGAAATCTGCCTCCCTGTAGATATCGCCAGAGCTCCAGAAATACAGAGTAAGCATCACTCTGTATGCACTGGTTAGTCAACATGAGGCTCTTTTGAGTATTAAACCAGGCAATACGGGTAAAAGAGACCAGTGCAGGACTAAGATCTTGGTAGGCATTCAATAAACAGTAGTTATTCTCATCTTTGTTATTCTCATCTTTAAGAGTCCTTCAAACACCTGGAAACAGCTCTCATCTTACCCGGTCCCCTCTCTTCCAAACCAAGCATCCCCAAGACATCAAATAATTAAATTTTCAGACCCTTTTATGCTGAGTGTGCTAGTTTCTCAATATTCCTCTTAAAAAGAGTACTGAGCACTCAAGCCTGTAATCCCAGCACTTTGGGAGGCCGAGACAGGTGGATCACAAGGTCAGGAGTTCAAGACCAGCCTGGCCAAGACAGTGAAACCCCATCTCTACTAAAAATACAAAAAAATTAGCTGGGCGTGGTGGCGGGTGCCTGTAATCCCAGCTACTCAGAAGACTGAGGCAGATAATTTCTTGAACCCGGGAGGTGGAGGTTGTGGTGAGCTGAGATGGCGCCACTGTACTCCAGTCTGGGTAACAGAGCGAGACTCCGTCTCAAAAAAAAAAAAAGAGTACTGAGCAAAATAATTCAGAAATACTGAGAGTAAAATAGAAACATCATTCTTTTTGTATAAATAAAGGAGTTTATATATATAAATTTCTACTACTACACTAAGAGGAGGAAGATCACCGGGAGCTTTCTGGTGGACCTGCTACAAGAAGCCAGGGCTTCCTGATCTCCGGTCATGCCACTGGATCATTTGCTCTAGTTATTTCGTCACCTTTACCACTTCAGATTCATTTCCTCATGCCAAGATTTTTTTGAATCTTGAATAATGAGCTACCGTTCTCTGCAAATCTTAGAACGTGATTTCTATGAATCAGAATCCAGCAATGGGAAAAGGGCTCTAGGGGATACCTAGTCACGCCTCCCACTAAACTTCAAATCTCTACTACACATTTGTATATGTTCCTCAAATAAAAATAATAAAAATATTTATTTTTCTTATTTTGAGGGAAAACTAGAGTGACACAAATTTCAGTTGGTAAATGTTGACATTTCACAAGGTTTATATGAATAGCCAAGTAGAGCAGAAGACCTCTTTTGGGAATTGAAATTCAGTAACCTCGCTTACCTAGGTACTAAGAAACCGAGGTGTGAGAAGCCAATATGTAAATATATTTACCTTGCATTTATTCACTTCTTTGACTACCATCCTGTTTATATTTGCAAAGTTTCAAAATTTACCAGATCTGTTTGCAGTGTTAAAAAAATTTAATGTATAATCAGTCGCAGTACTAAATAAACAGTATTTCATCATAACAGAAGGGCAGTGACTCCAAACACAAGGGCTTTTTGATGGACTTCTGATTGAAGCCAACAGCACGAAGCCCTTGGTCAATGCACCGAGCGTGGTGAGGAAGGGATGGGGGCTTGCACCCCTTGTGGGGATCCTCCTTGTGTAGTTAGCAACCCACCCATGACAGGGGGCCCTAGACCACCTGGGTCCCACACACTGCCCTGACATCTTGCCCACAGGGTTTCAACAGTGAGTAGACAGGGTCAAGGACTTGCTTGAACAGTAATATACAAGAACAGTGACTAGTAACACTGCCAGAAAGGTAAACTATTCTAGTAGGTATATGCATAGAGGTGGAGTTTAGTATCAATTTTTGGACAGTCATTAAAATGCCAAGAGATGAAATCTATTTATATATGACTATCTTACAAATGGATGAGGTTACCCAGAAAATTAAGCCAGGGCAATTAAGGTGAAAAAAAAAAAAATCTTATTTTGGTTGTAAGTTTATTGGTAGATAAAGGCAAAAACAGAAATAAAATAGATGTTGAAAAATTCATTAATAACGAATAATTACAAATTTGTTTGCTAAAATAAACTTTTCTCTGGAATAAAATCAGTAGGAATTTTTCATTGATATTTTTGAGAAAAAGACATTGGGTAAGAGTACTATTATCTTTCCTATCATCTGCCACAATAAAAACTGCCTTTAAAAAGATTAAGTAATTCATGCTTACTGTTAAAAAAAAAAAACACAACACATAAAAGCACAAATTGAAGAAGACGTTGCCCCAGATTCTAAAGTAAGATAATCACCACATTCTGGTGAGCATCCTTGCTCGTATCCACATGCGTGCATACACAACATGCACGCACACACACACTCTCTCCATTTTTCTCTCTAAATGGGATCATGAATATTGTCCTTCGGTGGTTTTGACTGAAGGCACAGAAATAATAACCAAATGAGCAACTGTGAAATCAACCCTCTACAACTGCTAATGGGAGAAGGGTTGAACTAAGTAAGGCATGGATCTAAGATCCATGACTTAGATTCTGAGTCATGCAGGTATTTAGGCATGGAACTAAAATATTACGGCCCACATACTATGATTTCTAATAGGTAACATGTCTACTGAGCACTCTCATTTTAATCTGATGCATGAACTGAACATCAGACAGATTCTGAGTGGCAGTCAGGTGACTATTAAACTACCCAATAATTCTCGAAAAGTGCCTAGTGTAATTATTTGCTTGTACTGGTTATCACTCATTTGTGAACTTTTTAAGAAGTAGGCTTGTATTACTATCTTGCCTGATGGGTTAGCATGGGAATAAGCAAAAGAGGTGGCTGTGGGTGAAATAAGTGTTTCCCTCTAAACTCAGGTTTGAATCACAGCTACTCACAGAGCTACTATGGTACTGTGTCCCACTTCACAGAAGAAATTAAATTCACTTCCCAGACAATAAAGGCAGATGGTCATCTGACTCACACAACTTCAATGGCACTGCAGTGGCATTGGCTTGGCTAACATTTATTGAGCACTTCTTATGTACCAGGCACTGTGCTAAGCATTTTATAGGCTGATTCTCATAACAACCCTGCGATATGGTCCTAGCATTATCTGTTTATGAATGACTACAAGGAGCTTCAAATAAATATAACTGCCCAGGTCTTACAACTGAAAAACGGAGGAGCTGAGAGTCAAATCCAGGTGTGTGTGACCTAGAGTCTAAGGAATTAGGTGCGCCATGCTGAAGGAAAACTGCCTGGGTGGCCAACAGCAGCAGCTAGTGGTTCACCTGCTGGATGAGGTGCAGTGCTCCTCTGAAGGCTGGGGAATGCCACCCGACCCTGACATCTGTGAGCCTCAACATGTATGGCTCACAGATGCCAGGGGGCACTTCTTCCAAGTATCTAGCCCCAGATGAGGTTAGATTGAATAACACATGCCACTGCAAGTGGAGGCCACTTGCCCATTGTTTCTATAGATGTCAATTACAGTTTCTATAGCCAGACAATGGGCAGTCAATTACATCAACTGCATGAGGTAATCAGTTTGGTTATTACTCATCAATTAAAGTATCAGGACGTAATTGAATATGGAGATCACGTGAATTCCACCCATATCAACCTAGGTTCAAATTTGGGCAGGACCCCAGGGTTGCTTTCATCTCTAATTAGTTTTCATGAATATTGGTAAAAGAAAGGACTGAACGATATCCTCAGTAAATGTCCAAAATTTAGAACAAAACAAAACAAAGCAAAAATAAAAAAACCCTTTCTATACCTTATCCCTATGGAAAGCTACTCTTGGAACAGCATTGGATCAAAATGGACCATAACAGTCATCTAGCCCAATCCTCCATCCTCTCAAAACACCTCACTACAGCACCCCTGACAAGTGACATCCAGCCTCTGCCTACATTCCCAGTCCTGAGCGTGCCCTACAGCAAACCATCCCGCCACTAACCAACCCCACCGACAGACGTCCTTCCTTTTACCGACGTGAAGCCTGCCGTCATGGAGCCTGCTCTTTGGTCGCCATTTTGCCCATGGAGATAGCGCTTAGACTTATTTTCTCTTCCTCCTCACAGCTGTCCTAACATCTGGAAACAGCGGGTCTTTCAAACTGCTTCTTTCCTGCAGGCCAAGTACCCAAGGCACTGGTCCTGACCACAGGCACGGCCGCCGGGGCTTCCCCAGAAGCTAGACATGCCAGGCTCCAGATGTGTGTGATGAACGCAAAGTGGGCTCTTCCCATCAGCGATGAGGATGCTGACAGCCTTTTACACTCTAAGACTATACTGCTCCTTTGCCACTTGCATTACACTGCTGATTCATTCTAAGCCTGTGGCTAATGAAAACCTCTGGATCTTTTCTCAAACGGGCTGCTCTTGTTGAATAAGGTGAATTCCCAATCTGTGTTACTGACTAAAAATATATGCTCATGAAATAAAGTATTTTGCTAGATACGATCCCATCAGGATCCGTATGAAACTGGTAGAAAGCCAGTTCTCACCACCTTCATGAAAACTGCTCCATGTGTTTTCCTGGGATCATCTGGCACATGCAATCCAAAAACAATTTGTTACTTACTCATTAGCATTCAAGCTAGCTGTGGCTCTGATGATCATGTAGCAGAGTGTGAGGGCACTGAGGAGGCCAAAACTGGCAATAATAAACCATTCTTCTGTTGACAAAGGAAAGGGAGGAAATCACTCTGGGGAGAAGGTTTAAGTCAAATCGATGCCAACATTTCCCTCAAATGCAACGAAGCAGACGTCAACGGAGGTGTAAGCCAAGATTGGCCCAAGGAAGTGAAGCAGGAGGTTTGCCAGAGAGCTACTAACTGGAGAAGGTTAGTGGAAGTACTGGTGAAAGCTGCAAGGGAGAAAGGAAAGCATGGCTCAACCATTTCTTCCATTTAGGTCCTGAGGTCTGTGAGGAGTGTAGCCACCAAAAAGTGTGCGGTGAAAATATGTATATAAAATTGCACAAGGACATAGATTTTTTTCATTGTTAATGTAAATGACAGTAAAGTAGACTAAGCATATTTATAACCTTCTTTCCTTCTTCATTCTGTCATTTCTGCAGGGCTTTCATTCTTAGTCAAAGGCTGAGGAGCACGGAGCAGCAGTTCTCCAGGTCCTGTGGGTGCTCCCAGCCGTCTGCGAGCCGGCCTCCCATGGCATCCATGGCTACATTCTTCTCTCTTATGCATGGGCTTACTTAGGATATTTACGTAAAAAGGACATCTCACTGGTGTCTCAAGAAAGTAGAAACTACTCTTCCCAACCCCTGCCGAGGAGCAGCACTGGCTGTCCAGGCTGTGACAAGCACAAGTAGGAGGGGCGGGCGACTGACCGGGTACTTGGCCACCACAGAGCTGAAAACCTCTGGTGCTTACAACAATAAGGATGTTTACTAGACTGTCTCTCTCTCTCCATCCAGATATTCTCCTTTACCTTTTCAGAGCCTATGTTGTCAAGGTAACATTTTAAAAACAGTATTTATTGAGAACCTCTAAAACAACCTAAGAACCAATCTGACTTGCTAAAAAGTCTTAACTATAAAATATTTCTTTGAGTACACACTGACTAGGGCTGTTTTAACAAAATGTTATACAATAAAATTACCTATATATGTGCAAGAAGGCAGAGAGAACTCTTTACACGTGGACTGCCAAATGTTTTATGCACAAGCTGTATACAGCATGTGTGTTTCTCAATCTGGGTTCCACAAATCCTAACCCTGCATGCAGAATTGTGTGTGCATAGGCATTTTTCTAGAAAAACATACTTTTGTTAGATTTTAAAGGTGGTGACTTTCAAAAGGTCACGCAGCACTGCTCCTGGGGACTTCCGGTCCAGAGAGTGCTCTAGGAGCATTTCTCTGCCCACCTTAGCTTGTGTTATTAAAATGCTTAGTAAACCCCTATCTTTTAGACACCAGTGCAGCCACGGCCTCTCAAATTACAAACTTCCTCATCAGTAGATTGAAGCTTTTTATTTAATCAGCATGAACATTCAAAAACACATATAAAACCCACCATTTTTACCTGTAATGTTTTAAGTTAGGGAAAATGTATATGGCATTTATAAAAATCAAGAGCCGAATGTCATCATCATCAAGGAACTTAACACAGTATCCTCTTTTTTCTTCTTGGAGACTTTTATATATGATATGCAGACTACCTTGTAGAACTTCGTCACATCTATGCTTCCAAATTCTGAGTCTACCATCCCGTATTTGCATGTCTTTGTGTGTGTGTGATTGCAATTTTAAAAACTAGTAACAAAAGGAAGTAAACACCATCATAAAACACCCAATATGCTGGCAGCATTTCCACAGTGCCCCCCTGCAGCCGGCCTGGCTACCTCTGCCCCCAGTGCCTACTTAGCACAGTGCCTGGCACACAGTGGGTGCCAGCGGGAGGCACTGTGGTTGCTACGGTGCCCAGGGCTTCGGAGGGAAAGCAGAGGTAGCTGTGGTTTAGTTCAATCACGTGGGTTTTATTTATTAACATCATGTGCAAATTCTGCTAAAGGTGATTAATTTGGTATATGAAGTAACTTTTTTTCATCAAAGTATAAGATTTTGAAAGGACATTTCTACATAAAATGTAATGGGATCAGTACTTAATGTAGTAAGTAGTAGGTGCTCAATAAATGTTTGATCAATGAAGGACCTGAAAAACTCACTAATAAACCAACAACCTTTGTGTCCTTTATTACTACTCAATCAAGTTTTAAAACTGTAGACCATAAAACCTCAACGCCAAAGTAAGAAAACCATGAAATGCTATTAAACGAATCGAGAGATGGTGAGAAATGAGCCAAACTACACTCAAAGCACAGTTTTCTCTATTGCATAGCTGAATGAAGCCTCCCTGAGTTTACACAGATGACAGAATACAACCTGGGCAATCATTTTCTAATAATAATGTCTGGTTGGTTAAAAACATGAATACTTTGATTGAACAGACCACACGAGTCTTAACATGTGAGGAGAAACATTTTGTAACAGTGTCATCCATTTCACTGACTCCCAGACTGGAGAAGGGTCCCACGAGCCTCAGGGCGTGACGTGCTAGGCAAGCAGCAGCAGGTGCTGGGAAAGGCAACAGCAGAGCAGCAACCAGGAAGATGGGTGAAAGGTTGTTAGATGAAAGGAACATGTAGAGAATGGAAGCGAAGAGAAGAGCTGGCTTGTTGAGGGCTGAATGTCTATGATGCCTACACACACGCTGTCAGCTCACTCACACCGTCCTGAGGCACCGCCATCAATACACTCAGCATTTCTTTCCTGCTAGTCGACAGTGCAATGTGAAGACGTTCATAACTAGCTCACGGTATTTTTTTTTCAGGCAGATTGTCCTTTGGCTTTTCTCCTACCTCATGTACAACTACACCAAAGAGTTAAGTGCCAAGAGACCAAACTTCCATAAAAAATGTAAAATAAAGTGCGCAACAGGCTATGTTCCAAGAACTGTGAATTTTTAGGTTCAAGTTCTAGATGAGTTTCCCACTAAGTAGCCTGTAGCCCCGGAGGTGGAGAGCACGAGCGCTCACAGCATACAACACACCAGCAATACTGCTGGGGGACTGTGTCACCTTCCAACATCTCCCTTTAAATGCCTGTTTGTAATGCAATGATTTCAAAACAAGGTTTATAAAACAGCGACTAAGACAGACCTCTGAACAGCTACTCATCAAATGCAGCTATTCCTATTAATTATACACAAACACACCAGCTACTTATCATAAATAAAGTTTCATTCTTCCAAATACCTGTTTTAACAGCAACACACATCACTTTCTTGGTTACAGTCTGTGTTGCAGGCTGAGGCGAGTGCCTTGACTCTCCTGATGGTCCCGAATGCCCACATAGGCAGCCACATGCCCTGTGCCTGAGCGGAGGCCCCCACTTACTTGTTACTGCAATGTTGATTTCTCCTGTTCTCGGAGTGAGCTCCCCATCCTGAGGAAGAGGTGAGATCCCCGAAGTTCGAAGTGGCTCAAGGCCAAGGGAGTTGTCGCCGGCGAGGTCGCCGAGGGCTGATCTTCGGTTAACAGCTTGGGTTCTGGTGAGCCTTTCCATATCGAATGCTACGTTATCAGTACATGGCAAATTCGGCTGCAAAATATTTCCAGGTTAAAAATAATTGTAAGGAAAACACAACCTTTCATAAGATTCTAAAAAAGATTCTAAACTTTGACGCCCTGTTGCAAAGACCTTACCAGGTTCTTTTCCTGTGATGTCCTCTCATTTATCTGCCCACCTACCTACTCCTTCTTCTCTCACCCTAAGAGTTTTTCTTCAAAAGGCACAGAGATCTCCTCTCAGAAATGTTACAAAGGAAAACTAAAATTCATTGCAGATCAGAGAAGACTGGTCATGGCCCACAGGCACAGGGAGTCGTAATCATTAACATAAAGATAGCAAACATCCAGTTTAAAAGAGTAAACTATTACTTTGCTTCATGGTAAATGTCCATGTTGAAGAATCCCAGGTAATAGAAAACACCTCTTTCATCCTACTAACTTCTCTAAAAGCCCCATTTATCTGGTAGTCAGTTTTTAAGTATGGTCTGCCTTTAAACACAAGAAAAGCATAAAACCAAGAATAGGTCAAAGTTGAAAAGACTTTTGAACTATAAGAAAATGATCTGTTTCAAAACCTAAGCACCTAATCCTGAGGGAGAGGTATAGAGCTGCTTGGGGCCAAAGTCTACCAATTAAAAAGTGAGCACCAAAAGTCTTCCGTTGTAACAATGTGGCTATTTGTTTACCTAACAACCTTTGGTTCTCTCAGCAGGCAGCAGCAGGCAGCACATGAGAAGCACAGCTGGGAGGGGTGGTTGTGAGAAGTTTGTATGTTTATAGAGAGAAGTTTCAGCCAACCAAACCTGGAACTAATGGCTTCCTGGGCAAAAGAACTGTTTCAGGTCATCTCAAAGCCTTATTTAAAACAGCAAAAGGCAGTGTACTAAGTGATGCTTAGGCTCACACCCAGTTAAAAGAGGTTTTTTTATGTTCATTACATTTAAGGATCCAATGATAACCTGCAATACATTTTAGGAGGATTTTTGTTATAAACAGAGGAGAAAAGTATTAGCACTTAATATACTTAACAAACAGGCTGGGCGCGGTGGCTCACGCCTGTAATCCCAGCACTTTGGGAGGCCGAGGCGGGCAGATCACGAGGTCAGGAGATCGAGACCATCCTGGCTAACACGGTGAAACCCCGTCTCTACTAACAATACAAAACATTAGCCGGGCATGGTGGCGGGTGCCTGTACTCCCAGCTACTCGGGAGGCTGAGGCAAGAGAATGGCATGAACCCAGGAGGCGGAGCTTGCGGTGAGCCGAGATCGCACCACTGCACTCCAGCCTGGGCGACAGAGCAAGACTGTCTCAAAACAAACAAACAAACAAACAAAAAAAGAAGGCGGCGGCTAGCGGTAACAACAGAGGGTAAGTTACTGTTTTTCAAGTTTCTACACTGTTGGCCAGGCACGGTGGCTCACGCCTGTAATCCCGGCACTGTGGGAGGCCGAGAAGGGCAGATCACTTGAGGTCAGGAGTTTGAGACCAGCCTGGCCAACATGGGGAAACCCCATCTCTACTAAAAACACAAAAATTAGCCAGGTGTGGTGGCAGGTGCCTGTAATCCCAGCTACAAGGGAGGCTGAGGCATGAGAACTGCTTGAACCTGGGAGGTGGAGGTTGCAGTGAGCTGAGATCACACCACTGCACTCCAGCCTGGGTGACAAAGGGAGACTCTGTCTCATAAAAAAAAAAAAAAAAAAAAAGAGAGAAAGTTTCTACACTGTGCTAGGCATCATGGCAGATGCTCTATGTTAGACCAGTCTGAAATGGGGGTGAGTTTGCTCCCTGGGGGACATCTGGCAACGTCTGGAGACATTTCTGACTGTCGTGGCTGTGGTGCCATGCTACTAGCATTTAGATGCTGCTGAACGGTCTACGATGCACAGGACAGCCCCCACAAGAAGGGATTGTCCAGTCCATGGTGTCACTAATGCCCGATACTTTGAGAAATCCCATCACTACTGACATGATCTCTGGAGACAAAGGACAAATGGGGCATTACTGCCCAACTGTATACACTGAAACTGTGTTTGACAGTATATTTAAAATAAGATGACTTCGATCTCCTTTGGGTTGCAAGCTAAAATGAGTTCATCTGTTGGATCAAACTAAACTTTTTGTTCCATAAGGAGATCATTCTTTCATTCTTTTTTGAGACCAGAAACTATGTTATTTTCCAATAAAAAGCATAACCCTGGCTATACATGCTTCTCTTAAGCAAGGGCTAACGAAGGTCCTTGGTTACTCAAGTCAGTGTTGACCTGGCACCTGCCACAGCTGGACTCTGGCACGCCTGGCGACAGCCCCTGCCAGGCTGTGGTTGTCAACAGTTCTCCTTGGGCTCCAGTCACTGCCTGCCTTCTCTGCTTGCAACTTACCAACCCTCAAGAGATCAAAGTCAAACTTCAGGCTAAAGAACATAAGCAATGACATCGTTTTATATTATGCCAAGCACAGAGGAGTTTATGACTGGAACAGAGTCAACAGCATACAGCCTACCTTCTAAAGGTAGGTACTGGAATGAAGAAAAATCATGTCCTTCTCTCTTTCTTCATCCCATACTCATCGACCAACAGAAGCACCCTTTTAAAAGTGGACCATGCCAGGTGTGGTGACTCACGCCTATAATCCCAGCACTTTGGGAGGCTGAGGCAGGAGGATCACTTGAGGCCAGGAGTTGAGACCCGCCTGAACATCTTGTCTCTTCAAAACATAAAAAAGTGGCCAGGCACGGTGGCTCACGCCTGTAACCCCAGCACTTTGGGAGGCAGAGGCGGGTGGATCACCTGAGGTCAGGAGTTGGAGACCAGCCTGGACAACATGGTGAAACCCTGTCTCTACTAAAAATACAAAAAATTAGCCAGGGGTGGTGACGGGCACCTGCAATCCCAGCTACTCAGAAGGCTGAGGCAGGAGAATCGCTTGAACCTGGGAGGCGGAGGTTGCAGTGAGCCAAGATCGTGCCATTGTACTCCAGCTTGGGCAACAAGAGCAAAACTCCCTCTCAAAAAAACAAAAAAGTTAGCCAGGCATGGCGGTGTATGCCTGTAGTCCCAGCTACTCAGAAGGCGAGGTGGGAGGACTGCTTGAACCCAGGAGTTCGAGGTTACAGTAAGCTATGATTGCACCACTACACTCCAGCTTGGGCCACAGAGTGAATCCTTGTCTCTTAAATTTAAAAAAAGAAAAAAAAAGGCCTAGTAGAGTTATTTACCTTCTCTTCCAGGAGTTCTCTGAGATGGATTAGACTTCTTAGTAATCTGGTAAAAAGGTCCTGTTGGGCTTACATGGTTACATGGCAAATATAGCCAGTGTTTTCTTCTGTGTCTTAGTCATGCCTCCTATTATGCCAATTATGTTATATTGTATTACACATACATATAATAATATACAAAAGTGGTAACAAATAAAATAGGAAACGTACCACAATTCCCAGGGCCTTCAATATATTAAGTTTGCACATAGGACAGGTACAATGTTCACTAAGCCAGGGATCCACGCAGGATTTGTGGAAAACATGCCTATAAAATAATGGAGAATTATGTCACAAGTTACATACCAAGAAACTTATTAGGCCAAAATGGAAAGAAAGGGAATTTTTAGTTAAGTTTTCTTTTCCCCCTTTCAGGACATATTTTAAGCCCCAAGAGACAAATATTGGGAATTTATTAAAATATAACTTGCAGAAAATCTCCTGAGCCCAACCTCATATGTACAACACCGTGTAAGAACTGCTAAGTAGGATTTGGTTGTTTGGGCCTTTTATTTTACCAAATTCCAAAAAGGACTAATGGAAACTTAGAAAATTTATTAAGAATGAAAATAATCACACCTTATAAACCAGTTATGCTTTCTACAATAGCTAACATAGAAAAATGGAGTTTCAAAAAGATACTAAATCATGGCTAAGTGAAGAGTTCTCTGTATAGTGATTAGTTTTTTGGCACCCTGATTGAATGTCATTTAAAACATCATTTTTAAAAACTTCTAAGCAACTTATGTTGAATGTTTATAAAAGCTACAGGGAAGCTGAAACTATTTTAAGGGGTAAACTGTGCCTAGATTCAAGTAACACTCAGCAATTTTCAGCTGAAATGTTAACGGGGGAGGATGGGAGATTTTCTCTCTTATTCAGGCAAGTAGAAAGTCACAGTCTTGTGACTGGAAATAAGTCAGTCATACAGGGTTTTGCATTCTTAAAAAAAGGAACTTGTGCCCTCCGGAAGAGCTGCAGAAATTACTTCTCAAGCTCTAGCACCCGGCCCAGCAGCCTTCTGAAGCTCTAGAGTCCTGGCCAAACAGGGAGAAGGTGGGTGCCAGGACAGACGTTCAGGGCAGCTTTGGAAGAAACACTAATCTGAGTTTGGGATAAGATAAAAGAAATTTTTGTTTGTTTGTTTTTGAGACGGAGTCTTGCTCTGTCGCCCAGGCTGAAGTGCAGTCGTGCAATCTCTGCTCACTGCAAGCTCCGCCTCCCGGGTTCACACCATTCTCCTGCCTTAGCCTCACAAGCAGCTGGGACTACAGCAGCCCGCCACCACGCCCAGCCAATTTTTTGTATTTTTAGTAGAGACGGGGTTTCACCATGTTAGCCAGGATGGTTTCCATCTCCTGACCTCGTGATCCGCCCGCCTCGGCCTCCCAAAGTGCTGGGATGACAGGCGTGAGCCACCACACCCGGCCAAGATAAAAGAAATTTTTAAGTAAGATGCCAAATTGAATCATGGTATATACCTTTACAACTTTGATTGTCAATTTCTAAGTTAATGTTATTTACAGCTGTTTAAAAATGCAGTTTTGATTTATAAAAAGAGGTCTAGAGAACTCAGTTTCTACTGGGATCTGGAACAAACATTCATGCTTACAACTTTGGCCTGAACAATATACACACACGTCTGCCTATCACTGTTTGATGGCCTTATACTCACTTCTTTGGGGACAAGAGTAAAGATCTTGAAGAATGAATTTATCAATCTAGTCTTAAATTCACAGACAATGAAATAACCAGAACCATCACCCCTGAAGGCATTTATTTAAACCTTAAAGCTTTTACTTAAGGGCTGGAAACCCACCAATCCATAGGTAAGCCCCAGATACATTCAGTACACCTAAGGCGTTATGTCTTGTTACTCGTAGCCTCTGTGTGTGGAGTGGTTCCTTACTCCAGGGTGTCCCCAGGGCCAGCTGGACTTTCCAGCAGGGGTCAAGTGCACTAATGCTGGCTACTGACCAACAAAGACCACAACAGG
Source organism: Homo sapiens (assembly GCF_000001405.40). Classification (NCBI taxonomy): domain Eukaryota; kingdom Metazoa; phylum Chordata; class Mammalia; order Primates; family Hominidae; genus Homo; species Homo sapiens. Next base: position 179,972,235 of record NC_000005.10, read on the forward strand.
CTTAACCCTTTTGGGGCATACAAACTCCCTTAGATCTGATAGAAGTTACAGAACCTCCCTCTGAAAAGTCACGGGGACGCAAATGCCTAGTACCTTGCATACATTTTCAGGAGGAGTACGGACCTATGCACTGGGTTAGCGCTAGGGTGGGGTGGCCGGGAAGGTGCTGCAGGTCAGGCCTACACAGGGTGGACGATGGGACTTGGCTGACTGACAGGTAATGGAAGACATATGATGCTGTGACCTCTGATCAAGGCTCTGGTGCAGGAATGGGAGGCATCCCGCTGGGGGTCGGGGGAGGCCTAGGTGCCTTGACTTCTGATCAGGGCTCTGGTGCAGGAGTGAGAGGTATCCAGATGAGGGTGGGGGGTGGCTGGGCTTGCTGAACTGTTGGTGGGGACCTGGTAAAGCCGCAGCACCACCTGGGGGGATGGAGGTGCGGCTCTGGTGCTCCCTACTGGGGCCAGATTTTGCTTTGCCCTTTTCTTATTGTTCCGTCTTTCTTTTCTCTTACTATCCAGAAAGAACCAAATGGTATAATCCTCATATTTCATTTTTAAAGCTGCATGAGTACAGTGTTCTCTGCCTGTTTCTTTAACCTGAAATTAGTTATAAATATGTTTGGGTTCTTGAGTAACTGTTTCCTTCTAGGATTATTGATATAAAAGAAGTGCCCACCCCTCTGTTTTACTAAACAATTAAAAATTTCTCCTCTAGGCTGTGGGGTACTATGAAGAAAAACAAAAAAGACCAACTGGTTCTCTGGTGACAAATTTAGAAAACCTCCCTTCCTCAGCTAAATGAAAATCTGAAATATTTTTGGTCTTTAAAAAAAAGTTCCTTTGGGCTCTCCATCCACCCCATCCCTCTCTTACTCCTGACCCTACCTCTGAGCACTGAACACCCTTCCCTCCTGTCTTTCCAAATTCCCCGCTAGTCCAGCTTCTGTGCAACTCACCCAGAGATCTTCAGTCTCAAATTCCCATGGCACATCCCTCGCTTCCACAAAGCTGGGTGGCTGTTCTCTTCACCCATGGCCCTCCTCTCCTGTCTCTTCTGTGATCTCCACAGGCAGCTGCCCTGAACACGGCACCTTTTTCTCCTCATCACCCATTGTCTAACCCTCCTGCTAGTCTCTTCAGTGCAACTTTCACTGAACTCACTGTGGCCTTTTCTTCCCTTCTAGGCAAAGTTCTGCTACAACAGTCTGGTGCTCGGCAAACCACCTTTCTGCTGTGCAGAGGTCTCAGCTAAGGACTGGGCCAGGGGCGTTTAATCTACCTTGGGAAGTGTCTGGAGCAGTCAATGCAACACAGCATGTGGGCCAAGGCTGAGCACCTGCAGGGCCATCACACGGGCAGAGCGGCCCCGCCACCTGGCCATTCCCGCACGCCTGACCGCGCTCACCCTCACTATGGCTCTGGGCTCTCATTATGGAAGGTGCTCCATGGACACCCAGGAGGCCTCAGAAAGAGGCACCTGGGGCAAGTAGGGCCTTGAAAAGAAGTTCCCCACTCACGTGATAAAAACACACATAAATAAAAAACAGGCCCGCCACACACAGGGTG